>NC_000012.12:38217703-38369218 GCF_000001405.40 Homo sapiens
CACACTACTGCACTTTCATTTGGACTAGCTAATTAGGACAATATTTTTGTTTTAACTTAAAAATGTCCAACAGGCTGTATATTGGATGTCCGTATCTTAGTAAAAACTCAGACTGCAGCCTTTATTTGTAGTATCTTTTCCTCTCACAGGCATCATGGAGGAGGAATAATCTGATAAAGAAACAGTAAATGTATCAATGAGTTTGGATTCATATACTGGTGTTTTAAAATTCTAGCTTAATGAAAATATTTCAGTAATTACTCTTGCAAACCAAAAGCTAATTTTCATTTTTATCATACTTCATGTTTCCACATTTCATATAATCCCTTTTTCTTTCCCTTCAGAGATATTGGGTCACTACATTGTGATGATGTGAAGGATCATGGCTCTCTTTGGTTTCTCAAAATTAATGCCACTGTTTTGACTGATTTTCCAGGGCAAGAAACAGGTGTTGTTCCTCTTTTATGTTTCATGTCCACAAAACATAATGCATTACTGTGCATAGCACAGGCCCTTCATTGACAGTAACTGATGAATTCCAAGAGAGGAGGAAAGAGCTTAACAGTTTTCTTACCCTTGCGGGATGGATGAAAAAAAGCAGATGCTAAAGTATTATGTGAAGGCATAAACACTAACTTTTTTTTTTTCAGGGAAACAAGAACGTTACTAACGAGAGAAATTAACATTTTATAACTGACTTGAGGCCCTTGACTATGAAGACAGCATTTCTACTAAATTTGAGAATTCATATTCTTTAGTAATTGTAACAAGTAAATTTGCCACCTAGATTTTTATTGCTAATTCTTTACAAATACTTTAGGATAGTGAGATTTTTATTTGACTTTATTGCTCTGTGCTGTTGATGTTTTTATAAGTAGGGAGACAAATGAGAAGAAAATGTATTTTGTGTTGGCTAAGTACAGATATTGAGAAGGCAACTTAATGCTTTGTTTTCTTTATTCTAATCAGAAAATAAACTATTCCTTCCTTCAAATTTCAGCTCTATGTATAATATGATTAAGAACTCTGTAAAATTCTTGGAAATATTGCCTTAGAACCTTGACATAGACAGAATAACATCCCCTGAAAGATGCCATGCCCTAATCCCCAGAACCTGTGGATATGTATGGCTACATGGCAAATTACAAGGAGAATTACATTGAAAGTTGAATTAAGGTTGCTAATCAAATAGCCTTAAAACAGAGAGATAGCATGGATTGTCCAGGTGCTTACAATGTTAACACAGGTCCTTACATGTGAAAGAAGGAGACAGAAGAGAAGATAAAATGAATGCGGTGTGGGCAGAACTGTACCTGATGTGTCTGACTTTAAAGATGTAGAATGGGGGTCGCAAGATGAGGGATGGGAAAACCTTTGGAAATGAATTCTCTCCTAGAACCTCCAGAGGGAGCATGTCCCTGCTGACATCTTGACTTTAAGCCAGTAAGATAATTTTGGAATTCAGGTTTCCAAAACTATAAAAGAATAAATGTAAATTGTTTTAAGCCACCAGGTTTGCAGTAATTTGTTACAGCGGTAATAGAAAGGTAATATAAACTCTATCTCTCCTAGGTTGGTTTAATATCAGAACTCGATGCTATGTTCTACACCTTTAGTCATATTGCTGTTCACATGATTTATTTGCTGGAAAACTTTCTAACAGACTGAAAAGGAGCCCCACAAATATAATGTTCATAATAATTTTGCAGTGTTTGTTTCCACATTTTCTACAGACATTTCTACAGATCACCTTTCATGTGACTATAAGTCAAAATTAGATGTATCTCCAAGTAATTTCCCTCAGGCCACAATTAAACAATTAACAGCCACTTTTTTGACAATAAACATAAGCAGGTTTAGTAACTTAACATTTGCTTTATCAAGTCATTCCTGTGCCTATATCGAAGGAAATAATAATTGTGATCCTTCAAAAACGTAATGAAGAAACAGAAAAAGCAAAATCACATTATTAGTGATAATGTATGTGTCCCTTAAATGAAGTCCCACTCTGGTGTAGTTCATTAATAGCTTGGGCCTTTGAGTATGAAAATACATTTAAACATTGGATGGGTCATTGGACCTAATCCTAAAAGTCCTTTTCCAGCACGCAGTTCAAAAACTCTATGATTCTCTGTTGATGTAGATCAAAGCACAGAATCAGGCTGCTTTCTTAAAATAAAACTTCTTATAAATATTCTTAAAAGCAAGGCTTCCTTTATTGCATTTGAATATTTGAAGTTAGGCTTAACAAAATCTCATTTACCTGGCATGCTTGCAGACTTGTTTTAAGGATAAAATTTAAAAAAAAAAATACACACACACACACATTCCAAAGTCAGACACAGGTACTGATATAGAAAAGTCATTAGTTAAGCTTTTAAAAATATCTGGTTATTTCAAACATATAATACAATGCCATTGCTTAGCAATTTGATCAATGTAAGTTAATAATGGCTTCATGATTCGGAAATAATATTGTGAGCATTTGTTTATAAAAAAAGTATTACTTGCCTCTCCCAGGTATCACCATATAGATATCATTTGAAAAATAAATTATTTAACCAAAAGTTGAAGGAATCTTATCTGAGGTTGTTTCTTGCTCTCAATAAAATTATTTTATTTCCTCTTAGCAATACCTATTGATTTTTTAACAGTGGTCAAATATGTTCCTTATTACACATCAATACCTATTTAAAACTATAAAGGAATGTTTTAGTTCCTTTATATATATATAAATCAGTTCCTTTATATATAGATCAGTCATACTGATCCATGAAGACCTAGGAACCTCAAGCTCCTTTGCAAGACTGGATTAATTGGGAGCAGAGGCAGACTCATGATACAGGTAACATTCCTATACCCACCATTTTAATCAGGTAGCTCAGCTTTCTCTAGTTTATATGTTGGATTTCACTTTTTGTTGGAAGAAATGTTTGGGTACCACTGTCTTAAAGAACTTCATTGCAATAAAATTCACTTTCATATAGAATATATTATATAATAGCACATTTCAAACCTATCGTAGACTGATGGCTATTCCTGGGCACATGGCTACCCAGAACAAAGACTTCATTTCCTAATCTCCCTTGCAAATAGGTGTGGTTGCATGACTAAGCTGTCACTAAGAAAATGTAAATGGAAGTGGTGTATAAGAAGTCTGGATCATGTCCTTAAACTGCAGGATTGTGACCCTGATGACCCTATTTTCTTTATCTTACTGTTTGAAAGAGGAATTCTTGGAGCTCTCTCTACTTTGAAACTTTAGGATAAAGACCACATCAACAAATGAATCTGTAGATTACCACAACAGCCTTGAATTACCTAAATTCGTACTTTCATGAGAAACAAACCTTCACCATGTTTGAGCTACTGTCACTTTGTGTTTCTATCACATCTATGAAAACCTAAATGCATTACCATCTTACAGGCTTTTATGCTATTCTTGATAAAGACTATTAAACCTAACTGAATTCTGGTAACTAGATACATAAATCAGATCTTTTATCTTTTGTTATTCATTTGTGTATTGACAAAGATAATAGTTATGTGAATAACATAGACATATGCTTGTCTGAAAATTATAGTCCTATAAATGTAAGTAGATTAAAAAGTGTTATAGCTTTCAAAATTTGTATTTGGTAAGATTGAGAGCTATCATCTAAGCTCACAAAAATAATGTATATTTTATAACACTGCTTTCAACTTAATTGCAATCACAAGAATACTCAGAGATAACAAAATCAACTACCCTGAAGAAAAAATGTCTGAAGAATAAGCATATTTATAGCCCAACGTTATAATTAGTCTTTTAAGTAATGGTAAACAAATGTTTCTAAAAGCTTTTGAAGTGAAAAACATTTTAATCACTTAAGTCAGAAAACACCATTACCCTGCAGAATCAGAACTGGTGATAATAATAAATTGAATTGTCTTGCTAAATTAGTCAGTGAGTATGAATGTTCATGATTCACTACTCAAAAGTAAAACACAAAAATGCCTTTGAAAGAAATCAACTTTCAGTAGTCAGAACAATAAAGTATTAACGCTGTCATCTAAATTGGGAACATTGAAGAAATTTAAGATGAAACCCAGCAATATAATAGATTTTTGCACAAAAGACTGATTTATGCACCAAAGACTGGTGAGAGGCACTAGAAGGAATGCAAGAAAAGGGACATTCTAAACACAACAACAAGGATAGAGTTTAGTTATCCTAGGGAAGGAGCTAAGGAAACCAGAAGCAAAGACATTCAAGAAATAGTAATTCAGGAATCTCAATGGAGATGAAAATCAAATTGGTTACTCAAGTACAGTTAGGATACGTGAAACTCAAAAAGTCCAGGTGTTAAGATCACTCCAGGTGGCTGGCTAATCATTATCAGAGAGTGATAACAGATGGATCCGGGGGTCAGGAGTGAAAAATGCCATTTGAGGTGAAGGCTACTAGGCAGACATGAGATTCCAGGCAGAAAACACAGTCAGTGAGAGCACAGAGGAATGAGGTGGATCTCAGTCATTAAGAACTTGGGATACGGGAAAAGAATCAAGTTTCCCAAGACATTTCTGGAATACCCAAGTTAATATTTGTGAGCTATGAGAGGGGTACCCAGTACTTAGTCATGGTGATAGTGACAGGAGATAGACAAATTCCAAGGCAGACAGGGGCGGGTCTCTGGTAGGACTCAACCTTCAACCTGAGGACCGAGCTGCCAGTTTCAGACAGAGTCCATGACTGGAGTGAGAACTTCTATCTCTGTCTTACCTACTCTCCTCTCTCTCTCTGAATTGGTTCCTTCTGGATAGTGCCTTTTAACCAATTGAGTGATGCTTTTTCCAAGACCACCCACGGACCAATCAGCATGAATGCCCCCATTCCAAGCTCATAATAACCCCGGACTCAGCCACACAGACAGCTACCATTTCAGATCACCTCTCACTATCGAGAACTTTTCTGTCACTCAATAAACTTCTACCCTGCCTTGCACATTCTCTGGTGTGAAAGGTAAAGGGTACAAAACAGATATACAGTGACTTAAAAATTTTATGAACATAAAGATGCATTAAAAATCGGAAAGGAAATATACAGTTTAGTAGACTAATGGATAGTCATTTTCTTATCTAAATTTTTATGTTATATATGTGCCTGTTTTATGCTAAAGGGAATACCTAAATTTATTTTTAAAATAAATTAAGTTTATGAAACTTTAAAATTTTACATTTAAAGCTTTAAGCAATTTCAGATGCAGAGATTAATAACTAATGAAATTTATAATATCAAAGAAGCAATCATAATTAATATCACCGGCAGAGTTATTAAGGTAAATCATATATAAAAGACAGAACTTGGATGTTATTTTAAAAAAAAAGAAAGGAAAACTAAAAACAGATCAAAGTAGAAACACTTTCTTTAGTCAATCCTTGGCAAAGAGGTTTCATCAATCTCTAATGAAGAGAAATTGATATCAGACCCTACATAATAATTATGTACTTTGCTTTATATAATTATGTACAATCTTACTGTACAATAATGTAGATTTAGTCACCATTATATTTTTGTTGTCTTCATAAAATTCTTTTTTTCACTTTTTTTTATTATTATACTTTAAGTTTTAGGGTTATATAACCCTTTCTTGGTTAGTTTCAGCTAGATAACTAAATTGAATAAAATATATCACCTTTATAATTAAGATTCTGTTGTCCAAACAGAAAAATTGAAGTAAGCAATTTTCCTTATGGAATATTATTCTATTAAATGTCAACCCAGGATGCGTTTGATGCATAATACAAAAAAAGCTACTAAGACATCTCTGGAACATTTCAAAGTGTATTATCAACCAAAAAAATCTTCAAATTTTGGTTTAAAAAAAAACCCTCAAAGAGTAACCAGTTGACAGGAAGTCTGCTTATAAAGAAATGGAATTCCAGTTACTATTGATAATGTTTGCAATGCTAAATTCAGTCCTTTCTAGGAGACAGTTCCCTAACAGCTGAAGAAAACAACCTAAAAAAATAAAATAAAATAAAATACGATCCACCTGTTCTGCTCTGTGAAGACATGCAAACCCATAACATATTCCTCCCTTTTGCTCTCCATGCCACAGTTGAAGTTCAAGATGTTTCCAGCCCTATTAAAGTCTATCCTTCTTGGATAACATGCTATTTTTTGATAAGCTTTGATAAGCTAAGATAAGCAATTTACCAGTTCATGCTGAGTTGTAACAGTTACTAAAGGGCTGCTTCTCAGGTTGTAGTGTTGCCTTCTGAGATACAAAATTCCTGAAGAGTAGAAAGATGAATTATTGGTGAATGACCCAGGCACTGATAAGCAAGAATAATTATGATATTTTGGGAGAAAACTTTTGTTTGACCTCAAAATACTTCATACACCGTTTTAGGTAGGTCTCGCTGTGTTTAAGTGTCTGTCCTTTGCCATCATGAGGGATCAGAAGGATGCATTTTCTCTTGCCTCGCCATTCTGTGGATCACGATTTGCTGTAGAGAAAACATACATGATAACAAGCTTCCTTATAATAGGTAAATCTATAAACCCCTTTAGCTTCCCTGAAAATAAATAGCAGAAAATGGAAAAAATATATTTCTAAGTTTTTGTATTTTTTGATAAATATTCAGTCTTCCCAAAATGTTTTGGAAAGATTGGAAAATAGAAAAAAAGCATACACCTTGAAAGCTTCAAATCACGGAGATAAAAAAGCTAAACAGGTCTAAGGCCATTTGAGGCAGAAAATGCTTTCAATCAGTTTCCTCACCATGTCATCAAATGTGACTTTGCCTTTAAGCAGTGACTTCTTTACACTCATTCTTTTAAACTTAAGTTTCTTAAAATAAAAGGCTTAGGTTTATTTCTAAATAGAAGGTTATGATGAATGAGGTGTTTTATTGTTTTTCTCAAAGTCTTTCAGTCTTCCTAAAAGAGGTCACTTTGTATTTTTATTTGCAAGATTTAATATTAAGCTAGCTAACATAAAATGAATCTTTCAACCACAAGCACAAATTATTTTCACTCTCTGGCTGTATTTGTTACAGTTTATCTTGTGAAATTAGGTATACTGCCAAATTTTAACATATAGTTGACAATAATGGAGTTTTTGACTAGTTCAGAGACCAGAACACAAATCAGCTAATTAAAAACCAATTAACTGACCTCAGGTTCTATTACTAATTTTTTTTTTGGCAGCCGTTGCCCTAGTCTGCTATGACCTATGTGAATGGAAATATATTTCCAAGATAATCACTCCCTTCTTCTGAGGATGAGGTTAATAAGAATGCCAATCTCTTAAGATTGTTTTGAAGATTAAGTAAGCAGAAGCATAAAAAAATTGTGGCACATGTAAAATCTCTTAAAGGTTAGTTATTATTGCCATTAGTAAATAAAAATAAATGGGAAGAAGAAACAATAAGCTATTGATTGGTAAATATGACATTATATTAACAGGTTACAGAAAAAATACACTCACAAACATATCTTCTCTAACCGTCTGAATAGGCCTATAATTGGAAAGTGCGAAACAAACAATGGGAAAAAAGCAGTAGCAGCTCATTAGAGGTAAGAATGTAATAAGAAAGACAAAGTAATTTTAATATGCTCAAGTATCCAAGTTCTTATTAATTTTATAACAGATTAATGAAAGAACATTTATATACCATCTAGGAACATTTATATTAAAAGAAATCAAGAATATTAGGAGAACTGTTCGAATTTCCAAAATCAAGGTACTAGTAACTACTGGAAATGACAACCTCACTGTTGATACTTAGTAAATTTCTAGAATCAATTGTGTTTTTTTGCTGTTCTTTTTTATACTTTAAGTTTTAGGGTACATGTGTACAACGTGCAGGTTTGTTACATATGTATACATGTGCCATGTTGGTGTGCTGCACCCATCAACTCATCATTTAACGTTAGGTATATCTCCTAATGCTATCCCTCGCCCCTCCACTCACCCCACAACAGTCCCCAGAGTGTGATGTCCCCCTTCCTGTGTCCATGTGTTCTCATTCTTCAATTCCCACCTATGAGTGAGAACATGCAGTGTTTGGTTTTTTGTCCTTGCAATAGTTTGCTGAGAATGTTGGTTTCCAGGTTCATCCATGTCCCTACAAAGGAAATGAACTCATCATTTTTTATTGCTGCATAGTATTCCATGGTGTATATGTGCCACATTTTCTTAATCCAGTCTATCATTGGACATTTGGGTTGGTTCCAAGTCTTTGCTATTGTGAATAGTGCCACAATAAACATACGTGTGCATGTGTCTTCATAGCAGCATGACTTATAATTCTCTGGGTATATACCCAGTAATGGGATGGCTGGGTCAAATGGTATTTCTAGTTCTAGATCCCTGAGGAATCGCCACACTGTCTTCCACAATGGTTGAACTAGTTTACAGTCCCACCAACAGTGTAAAAGTGTTCCTATTTCTTCACATCCTCTCCAGCACCTGTTGTTTCCTGACTTTTTAATGATTGCCATTCTAACTGGTGTGAGATTGTATCTCACTGTGGTTTTGATTTGCATTTCTCTGATGGCCAGTGATGATGAGCATTTTTTCATGTGTCTTTTCACTGCATAAATGTCTTCTTATGAAAAGTGTCTGTTCATAACCTTCGCCCACTTTTTGATGGGTTTGTTTGTTTTTTTTGTTGTAAATTTGTTTGAGTTCATTGTAGATTCTGGATATTAGCCCTTTGTCAGATGAGTAGGTTGCAAAAATTTTCTCCCATTCTGTAGGTTGCCTGTTCACTCTGATGGTAGTTTCTTTTGCTGTGCAGCTCTTTAGTTTAAATAGATCCCATTTGTCAGTTTTGGCTTTTGTTGCCATTGTTTTTGGTGTTTTAGATATGAAGTCCTTCCCATGCCTATGTCCTGAATGGTATTGCCTAGGTTTTCTTCTAGGGTTTTTATGGTTTCAGGTTTAACAGTTAAGTCTTTAATCCATCTTGAATTAATTTTTGTATAAGATGTAAGGAAGGGATCCAGTTTCAGCTTTCTACATATGGCTAGCCAGTTTTCCCAGCACCATTTATTAAATAGGGAATCCTTTCCCCATTCTTGTTTTTGTCAGGTTTGTCAAAGATCAGATGGTTGTAGATATGTGGCATTATTTCTGAGGGCTCTGTTCTGTTCCATTGGTCTATATCTGTGTTTTGGCACCAGTACCACGCTGTTTTGATTACTGTAGCCTTGTAGTACAGTTTGAAGTCAGGTAGCGTGATGCCTCCAGCTTTGTTCTTTTGGTTTAGGATTGACTTGGCAATGTGGGCTCTTTTTTGGTTCCATATGAACTTTAAAGTAGTTTTTTCCAATTCTGTGAAGAAAGTCATTGGTAGCTTGATAGGGATGGCATTGAATCTATAAATTACCTTGGGCAGTATGGCCATTTTCACAATATTGATTCTTCCTACCCATGAGAATGGAATGTTCTTCCATTTGTTTGTATCCTCTTTTATTTCATTGAGCAGTGGTTTGTAGTTCTCCTTGAAGAGGTCCTTCACATCCCTTTTTAGTTGGATTCCTAGATATTTTATTCTCTTTGAAGCAATTGTGAATGGGAGTTCACTCATGATTTGGCTCTCTGTTTGTCTGTTATTGGTGTATAAGAATGCTTGTGATTTTCGCACATTGATTTTGTATCCTGAGACTTTACTGAAGTTGCCTATCAGCTTAAGGAGATTTTGGGCTGAGATGATGGGGTTTTCTAGATATACAATCATGTCATCTGCAAACAGGGACAATTTGACTTCCTCTTTTCCTAATTGAATACCCTTTATTTCCTTCTCCTGCCTGATTGCCCTGGACAGAACTTCCAACACTACGTTAAATAGGAGTGAGGAGAGAGGGCATCCCTGTCTTGTGCCAGTTTTCAAAGGGAATACTTCCAGCTTTTGCTCACTGAGTATGATATTGGCTGTGGGTTTGTCATAGATAGCTCTTATTATTTTGAGATACGTCCCATCAATACCTAATTTATTGCGAGTTTTTAGCATGAAGGGTTGTTGAATTTTGTCAAAGGCCTTTTCTGCATCTATTGAGGTAATCATGTGGTTTTTGTCTTTGGTTCTGTTTATATGCTGGGTTACGTTTATCCCAGGCATGCAGCCCACTTGATCATGGTGGATAAGCTTTTTGATGTGCTACTGGATTCGGTTTGCCAGCATTTTATTGAGGATTTTTGCATCGATGTTCATCAGGGATATTGGTCTAAAATTGTCTTTTTTTGTTTTGTCTCTACCGTGCTTTGGTATAAGGATGATGCTGACCTCATAAAATGAGTTATGGAGGATTCCCTCTTTTTCTATTGATTGGAATAGTTTCAGAAGGAATGGTACCAGCTCCTTCTTATACCTCTGTTAGAATTTGGCTGTGAATCCAACTGGTCCTGGACTGTTTTTGGTTGGCAATCTACTAATTATTGCCTCAATTTCAGAGCCTGTTATTGGTCTATTCAGAGATTCAACTTCTTCCTTGTTTAGTCTTGGGAAGATGTATGTGTTGAGGAATTTATACATTTCTTCTAGACTTTCTAGTTTATTTGCATAGAGGTGTTTATAGTATTCTATGATGGTAGTTTGTATTTCTGTGGGATTGGTGGTGATATCCCCTTTATCATTTTTTATTGCATCTATTTGATTCTTCTCTCTCTTCTTCTTTATTAGTCTTGCCAGTGGTCTATCAGTTTTGTTGATCTTTTCAAAAAACCAGCTCCTGGATTCATTGATTTTTTGAAGGGTTTTTGGTGTCTCTATTTCCTTCAGTTCTGCTCTGATCTTAGTTATTTCTTGCCTTCTGCTAGCTTTTGAATGTGTTTGTGTATTGGGTGCATATATATTTAGGATAGTTAGCTCTTCTTGTTGAATTGATCCCTTTACCATTATGTAATGGCCTTCTTTGTCTCTTTTGATCTTTGTTGGTTTAAAGTCTGTTTTATCAGAGACTAGGATTGCAACCCCTGTCTTTTTTTGTTTTCCATTTGCTTGGTAGATCTTCTTCCATCCCTTTATTTTGAACCTATGTGTGACTCTGCACATTAGATGGGTTTCCTGAATACAGCACACTGATGGGTTTTGACTCTTTATCCAATTTTCCAGTCTGTGTCTTTTAATTAGAGCATTTAGCCAATCTACATTTAAGGTTAATATTGTTATGTGTGAATTTGATCCTATCAATATGATGTTAGCTGGTTATTTTGCTCATTAGTTGATGCAGTTTCTTCCTAGCCTTGTGGTCTTTACAATTTGGCATGTTTTTGCAGTGGGTGGTACCCGTTGTTCCTTTCCATGTTTAGTGCTTCCTTCAGGAGCTCTTTTAGGGCAGGCCTGGTGGTGTGAAAATCTCTCAGCATTTGCTTGTCTGTAAAGTATTTTATTTCTCCTTCACTTATGAAGCTTAGTTTGGCTGGATATGAAATTCTGGGTTGAAAATTCTTTTCTTTAAGAAAGTTGACTATTGGCCCCCACTCTCTTCTGGCTTGCAGATTTTCTGCTGAGAGATCATCTGTTAGTCTGATGGGCTTCCCTTTGTGGGTAACCCGACCTTTCTCTCTAGCTACCCTTAACATTTTTCCCTTCATTTCAACTTTGGTGAATCTGACAATTATGTGTCTTGGAGTTGCTCTTCTCGAGGAGTATCTTTGTGGTGTTCTCTGTATTTCCTGAAATTAAATGTTGGCCTGCCTTGCTAGATTGGGCAAGTTCTCCTGGATATTTTCCTGCAGAGTGTTTTCCAACTTGGTTCCCTTCTGTTCGTCGTTTTCAGGTACACCAATCAGACGTAGATTTGGTCTTTTCACATAGTCCCATATTTCTTGGAGGCTTTGTTCATTTCTTTTTATTCTTTTTTCTCTAAACTTGTCTTCTCACTTCATTTCATTCATTTCATCTTCCATCACTGATACCCTTTCTTCCAGTTGATCAAATCGGCTACTGAGGCTTGTGCATTTGCCACGTAGTTCTCATGCCTTGGTTTTCAGCTCCATCAGGTCCTTTAAGGACTTGTCTGCATTGGTTATTCTAGTTAGCCATTGATCTAATTGTTTTTCAATGTTTTTAACTTCTTTGCATGGGATCGAGCTTTCTCCTTTAGCTTGGAGTAGTTTGATCACCTGAAGCCTTCTTCTCTCAACTCGTCAAAGTCATTCTCCGTCCAGCATCGTTCCATTGCTGGTGAGGAGCTGCATTCCTTTGGAGGAGGAGAGGCATTCTGATTTTTAGAGTTTCCAGTTTTCCTGCTCTGTTTTTTTCCCCATCTTTGTGTTTTTATCTACCTTTGGTCTTTGATGATGGTGACATACAGATGCATTTTTTGAGTGGATGACCTTTCTGTTTGTTAGTTTTCCTTCTAACAGTCAGGACCCTCACCTAGAGGTCTGTTGGAATTTGCTGGAGGTCCACTCCAGACCCTGTTTGCCTGGGTATTAGCAGCGGAGGCTTCAGAACAACAGATAATGATGAGCAGAAATTGTTGCTGCCTGATCGTTCCTCTGGAAGCTTTGTCTCAGAGGGGTACCCGGCCTTGTGAGGTGTCAGTCTGCCCGTAATGTGAGTTGCCTCCCTGTTAGCCTACTTGGGGGTCAGGGACCCACTTGAGGAGGTATTCTGTCCGTTCTCAGATCTCCAGCTGCATGCTGGGAGAGCCACTACTCCCTTCAAAGCTGTCAGACAGGTACATTTAAGTCTGCAGAGGTTTCTGCTGCCTTTTGTTTGTCTGTGCCCTGCCTCCAGAGGTGGAGTCTACAGAGGCAGGCAGGCCTCCTTGAGCTGCGGTGGGCTCCACCCAGTTGGAGCTTCCTGGCTTTTTTGTTTACCTACTCAAGCCTTGGCAGTGGCAGGTGCCCCTCCCCCAGCCTCACTGCCACTTTGCAGTTTGATCTCAGACTGCTGTGCTAGCAATGAGCGAGGCTCCGTGGGCATAGGACCCTCTGAGCCAGGCACAGGATATAATCTCCTGATGTGCCATTTACTAAGACCATTGGAAAAGCCCAATATTAGGCCGGGAGTGACCCAATTTTCCAGGTGACGTCTGTCACCCCATCTTTGACTAGGAAAGGGAATTCCCTGAACTGTTGCACTTCCCAGGTGAGGCGATGCCTCACCCTGCTTTGGCTCAGGGTTGTTGTACTGTACCCACTGTCCTGCACCCAGTTTCCAACACTCCCCAGTGAGATGAACCCAGTACCACAGTTGGAAATGCAGAAATCACCCATCTTCTGCATCACTCATGCTGGGAGCTGTAGACTGGAGCTGTTCTTATTTGGTCATCTTGGCTCCACCCATGACATATTTTAATGCCTGAAAACAAGTAGTGAAATTGAATGAGACAAGAAAGCTAAGGGATTTTCCTGAAATGTCCTTGAGGAGTAGGAATGGGAGGAGTGTTGGCCAGTGATGCTCAAACTTTAATATGCATCAGAATCACTTGGAGGGCTTGTTAAAACACAGAATCCTGGTCCCACTCCCTGAGTTTCTCCTAGAATCAATTGTTAAAGAAATTGTTTATTAGTATGTGAAAAATAAGTTGACCTTCAGGGAGCATCATTTCTTACTTACTCAAAATAAGTAACAGTAAAATAATGTTGATCATATTATCTTATCCATTGATTAGGGAAATGTCAGAGAGAAATATATCATCACTTCAATAAAACAGTATGATATGGTTTGGCTGTGTCCCCACCCAAATCTCATCTTGAATTGTAACTCCCACAATTCCCATGTGTCATGAGAGGAACCCGGTGGGAGGTAATTGGAATGTTCACTGTTCTTGTGATAGTGAATAAGTCTCATGAGATCTGATGGTTTTAAAAAGAGGAATTACCCTGCACAAACTCTCTTTTTGCCTGCTGCCATCCATGTAAGACATGACTTGCTCCTCCTTGCCTTCTGCCATGATTGTGAGGCCTCCCTAGCCATGTGGAACTGTAAGTCCATTAAACTCTTTTTCCTTTTTAAATTACCCATTCTCGGGTATGTCTTTATCAGCAGTGTGAAAACAGACTAATACAGTAAATTGGTACCAGTAAAGCAGGGCATTGCTGAAAAGATACCTGAAAATGTGGAAACAACTTTGGAACTGGGTAACAGAAAGAGGTTGGAACAGTTTGGAGGGCTCAAAAGAAGACAGGAAAATGTGGAAAAGTTTGGAACTGCCTAGAGACTTGTTGAATAGCTTAACAAAAATGCTAATAGTGATATGAACAATAAGGTCCAGGCTGAGGTGGCCTTAGATGGAGGTGAGGAACTTGTTAGGAACTGGAGCAAAGGTGACTCTTAGTTAGCGTCTGTTTGTTTCAAATTAAAGAAATCTGTTCTAATATTTCTTATAAGGCAGTTCTAATGGCAGATTAACTCTCACAGCTTTTATTTGCCTGTAAAAGTCTTTATCATAGTCGCACAGCTAAATAACATCCTTGCTTGGTATAGTGTTCTTAGTTTACAGGGTTGTTTTTTTTTTTCCTTTTCAGCACTCTGAATATATCATTGCACTCTCCCCTTGTCTGCAAGGTTTCTACTAAGAAATCCTCTGATAGTCTTATGACTGTTCCTTTGTATGTGATGAGTTTGATGAGTTGCTTTTCTCCTGCTTTCAAAATTCTGTTTTTAATTTTCAGAATTGATAATAGTGTGCCTAAGGGAATATCTCTAATTTACTTGTGGTTATTTGGGCTTCAAGGATATGGATGCTCTTTTTCTTCTCCAGATTTGGGAAGTTGTTTGTCATTATTTTTTTAAATAAGCTTTCCTCTCCTTTCTCTCTCTCCACTACTTCTGAGACCCTCATAGTTTACATAATGGTTCACATGATGGTATCTTATAAGTCATATATGCTATCTTCACTTTTAAAATTTTTTCTTTTGCTCCTTTGAGTAATTTCAGATGTCTTGTCTTTAAGCTCACTAAATTTTTCTTCTGTTTGAGTTTGCTGTAGAAGCTGTCTGTATAATTTTTATTTTAGTCATTATATTCTTCTGCTACAGGATTTCTGATTGCTTTTTAAATAGCTTCTATCTTTTTGTTTGAATTATTTTGTTTATGTATTTTTGTGGGGTTTTTCTATGAGTTTTCTACCTGTATTCTCTTAATGTCTTTAAGAGGATTATTTCTACCTGTATTCTCTTAATATCTTTAAGAGGATTATTTTGAATTATTTGTCAGGCAGTTTGTGGATCTTCATTTCTTTAGGGTCAGTTACTGGTGATTTATTATGTTCCTTTGGTGATGTCATGTTTCCCTGATTATTCAATTTTTTATGATCATTATGGCTTTCCATTGGGTCTGCACATTTGAGGCAGACAACTTTTGAAGTTTTTACAGATTGGCTTTGCAGCAAAATCCCTTCACCAGTCACTTCATCCAGAAATTCTTGGTGGGCCTCTGTTTGGGTTTGTGGGTAAGATTGCTTCTGCAGTCCTTAGGCAGGGTAGCCTGATGTCTTGGGGTGATCAGTGAGTGGTTGAACCTGAAGCCTGAGTTGCATGGGCATGCCATGGTTCTGGGTCCATGAAGACCTATCTGGAACCTAGATCTACAGGGGCCAGCCCAGCATCAGGATCTACCAGTGTACACCTGGACTCTGGATCTGTTGGAGCCTGTCCCTGTGGGAACTGGCCTAAAGCCTGGCTCTTCAGAGGCTATTCTGAAAGATGAGTCTGTGGAGGTTAGCCTGGAGCTGGGTTGGTCTAGAGGCATGGTTCCAATTGGCACACCTGAGTCATGGGTACATATGAGCAGTATTAAAACCTGGGTTTGTGGGGGATGGTCTGAGACTGGAGTCTACTCATGTGGCTCTGGACCCTGGGTCTGCTGGAGCAAGCATTTGTTGGGGCCAGTGTTAGGCCTGTGACCAAAGGGACCAGCCTGGTGCTGGGAGGACACAGAATGTAGAGCTGCAGGGGCTAGCTTGCAGACTAAGTCTGCAGATGTCAGCCTGATGCCTGAGCCTATAAATGCTGTCCTGGAATTTGTGTCCATAGGTGCCAGCCTGAAGCCTGGGGTCAGAGGAGGCAGCCTAGCATTGTGTTTTACTGGGGCATGTCTGATACTAGGGTCCATAGCACTTCCCTCCACTTCTTCAAAGCAGCAGGTATCTCTCTCCATGCTGTGTTGCCTGGGATTGTGGGGAGGATGAAGCAGATAATGTGAAACTGTTCTTCTTACTCTTACTCTCTTTAATGTGATGTTTCTTATTTCAGTGCTATACCCATATTCCATAATCTCTTACATGGATTCCTTAGCTCTTGTGAAGGTATGCTTATACATTGTTATTTGTTCAAATTGTTGTTTTCATGAGTGCATAAATGCTGTAAGGTTGTATTCTGCCATCTTGCTGATGTCACTCTCTCAAAGCTCTATATGAGTGTTAGTTAACCATAGATTTAATATAAATTAATAGCAGAATATAGATAGTAAGAAAGCTAGCACATTAGTTTCTGATATGGTTTGGATCTGTGTCCCCACCCAAATATTGTATAGAATCATAATCCTCAATGTTGAAGGTAGGACCCGGTGGGAGGTGACTGGATCACAGGGGAGGTTTCTGAGGAATCTCAGCACCATCTCTCTAGTGCTGTTCTCCTTATAGAGTTAACATGAGATCTGGTTGTTTAAAAGTGTATAGTATCTCCCTTCTCACTTTTTTCTCCTGTTCTGGCCATGTGAAGTTCTGCGTTTCTGTTCACCTTATTCCATGTTGTAAGTTTCCTGAGGCCTCCCTAGAAGCTGAGCAGATGCCACCATGCTTCCTGTGGGGCCTTTAGAGTCATAAGCCAATTAAATATCTTTTTGTATATAAATTACCCAGGCTCAGGCACTTATTTATAGCAGTGAGGGAACTAACACAGTTGCCAAAAATAGAAAATTATGTTTATCATAGGAATAAGTATCCCATTGTATTCTATTCTAAATAAACCAAATCAGCTTACAGACTTGTTTCTCTCATGTGCTTTTTAAAGAGACATTAATAGAAATATGATACTTGTGAGGGGGCATTTTGACTTGTTATGAAAAAGAAAAAAATGTAATATCTGAATGAGCTGGGCATGTTTAAACAAAAGGAAATTTTTTAAAAAAATGACAAGATCTTAAATATTTAAACTATAATCATTTAAGAGTGGCTTTACCATGTGTTGTTTCTAAAAGTAAAACTAAAATTAGTGAATGAAGGTCATGTAGTGGTAGATCTCTTGTCAAGATTCAAAGAACAATGGGTTTTTATGAGGTATCGAGTTTCATACTATAAAATGAATTCATTTGTAAGATCACAGAACGAAAATAAGACTGAGAAAGATAAATCAACTTCTCTTTAATGTCAAGCTTCAACAAGTACAGCTATATAATAGAGGTTGAGAGATTCTGGAGGCAAACTTCCTGGGTTCAATTTCCATCTTCCTTACTCATTTTCGATATTATTTTGTGCCAATTACTTAATATCTTTGTACCTCAATTTCCTCACCTATAAAATGCAGGTCCCTCAAGCACAATTATAAAATCCAAAATTTTTCAAAGTTAAAAATTTTTTTAAGGTTATAGCAAACTTATTTGACAACAAATATATCTGAAAAGATATGAGTTACTTATAGCCATATTTTCTCATGTAGTATGAACATTTACAAGTTTCTTCATAAAAATGTTAATGTGTTTGTGTTGTGCTGCCCCCAGACCCTTCTGGGGGTAATACATATCTATAATATATGCACTGTATTATTTTTCTGAATGTTTAAAACCTCTAATTTTTTAAACACATCTGTCCCTAATGATTTCAGCAAAACTGTACACCTGTAATACCTATGACCTCATAAGGTTATATTAATTAAGCATACAGAAAAATGCCAGGCACAGATAAATGCATAACGTATTGTATTAGTCTGTTTTTATGCTGCTGATAAAGACATACCTGAGACTGGGTAATTTATAAAGAAAAAAAGATTTAATGGACTCACAGTTCCATGTGGCTAAGGAGGCCTCACAATCATGGTGGAAGGCAAAAGGCATGTCTTACATGGCAGCAGACAAGAGAGAATAAGAGACAAGTGAAAGGGAAAACCCCTTATAAAATCATCAGATCTCATGAGACTTATTAACTACCAAGAGAACAGTATGGGGAGTATGGGGGAAACTGCTCCCATGATTCAATTTTCTCCCACAGGGTCCCTCCCACAAAACAGAGGAATTATGGAAGCTACAATTCAAGATGAGAGTTGGCTGGGGACACAACAAAAACATATCTCATATGTTAGCTACTACCGCTACAAAAATTATTTTATTTTCCGTATCCTTTGTATTCAGAATAAAGTCATAAGAAGGAAAAATATTTCTTTATCACATAAAAAAGTGACACCATGCACACTGGTACTTGTAAACTTTTATAAGCAACACTTTTTAGTAGTGCTCTTAGAAAAGATTTCAACTTATTAGAAATCTTATAATCTTTAATTTCTCATAGTTGGAGAGTGTTAAAAAATTACTTTCATGGAAGAAGTTTAAGCCATCTTCTGTATATAAATAGAACAAAAATTGAGAGCATATACTTAAAATGGTTAGACTTTTAAATGCATTTTCATCCAAGACAGAAAACAAAATGAGCGATGAAATGCATTTCTGTGAAATATATTCCTGTGTTCTTTGCAATTCTAAGAATTTTACTTCTTAGAGAACATGATTTTTGTATGTGTGAAGAGTTCATACTAACTAACTTTAGAGTAAAGTTTTTTTTTTTTTGTTTTTTGAGATGGAGTCTTGCTCTGTCGCCCAGGCTGGAGTGCAGTAGTGCAATCTCAGCTCACTGCAAGCTCGGCCTCCCAGGTTCACGCCATTCTCCTGCCTCAGCCTCCCGAGTAGCCACAGTCTAAGAACTTGTAACTTATAAACTAAGAACCTTATATTTAAAGTATGACTTTAAATCCTTACAAATCTTCTTTCTTTATAGACCTAGATAGCATCCATTTATTTCACAAGTTTCAAAGATGTATGTACACTCTACACATACTTTTGAACAATCCTGTTCTAGTAGTCCATTTTCTGTTGGTATAAAATAATATCTGGGACTGTGTAATTTATCAAAGAAAAAGAGGTTTATTTAGTTCTACAGGCTGAGAAGTTTGATGGCATAGCCTTGGCTTCAGGCGAGGGTTGGGTTTTGTCACAGTATGGCAGATAAGTCAAAGGGGAAGTGGATACCTACAAAGAGGGAGGAGGGGGAAACAGTAGAGGAACTTTGCTTTATAACAACCTGCTCTTGTGGGAACTAATTCATTCCTGAAAGAACTAGTCCAATGTCCAAGAGCAAGAACTTATTACTGAGAGAATGGAACCAAGTCATTTATGAAGTATTTACCCCAATAACGCAAACACTTTCCATTGGGCCCCACTTCCCAACACCACCACACTGGGGGTCAAATTTCAACATGAGCTTCTGTGGGGCCAAACAAACCATATCCAATCATAACACCTGAATATTGTATACTATCAGAGACAAAGAGATTATCAGTCAGGTAGAAAAAATTGAATTCTCAAAAAAATAGCCAGCTCAGAATGAGACTGTAGAGCAGAGGGTTGGATATTACAACGGTAAATTCATGAATACCACATCGTCGAATAATTGATGACAGCCACAGAGTTAAATAGCATCATGAAATTGTAAAATACCACTTGCTAAAAAGTGATATTGTTGTGAAGAGGAATGTACATCTTTCTCTATTTTTAGTATTTTAACACTTCCTAGAAGATCAAGAAATAATAGGAAATGCATATTTCTGTCTTATCCTCATTCTCAGTTTAATAACTGGAGGATGATTATGTTCACTGAGTCAGTGAGACTAGGAGGAAAAGCAGCCTGAGACTTAACAGTAAAATGAAAGGCTGCAGTTTTGTCTATCAAAACCCAAGTCCCTTTAGGATATCCAACTGGAGAGCACTGGTAGAAACTTAATTCTCCTTCATGTTTTCCTTAAAGAGAGGTAAGTATCAGAATAATACTATTCTGTCCCCCTCATTACTTCTTTCTCAAACATCTCTCCATGTGTGTGAAAAAGCAACCAATCTATTTGCCAAGTTAGAGAGACTTTGGCATCCATTGAGTGAAATTGACAGAGTGGGGCAAAAAAAAAAAAAAAAGAATTTAGTGAAGATTTATCTCTTTTCTCTCTCTGTTGTTCCTCTGCTGCATGGAATATAAGAAAGGTCATAGTTTTCTCTTCTAGCCTGAAGGCAAGAAAAGGGAGAGAGGGGGGTGAGGGAGAGAGAGTATATGTGTATGTACTGAGGATGGTTGGCAGGAAAGTGAAAAAGGAAAGGGAGTTTTGTCACGTTCTCCAACTCAGAAATTACCAAATAGCTCTAATCTAAAACTAATATTTCATTTTCATCTCCACATGGATCCTTATTTTGTTTTCCCCCTCTGGATGAAACCCAAAAAATAATGATCTAGATTATTCCAATATTTATCTAGGATAAGAACTTGGATTACTCCAGTCTCCAAGAAATACATCCAATAGGTGGCTGGAGATGCAGGTATACAACCTGTGAGAGATAAATGCTTGGTAATTAGCAAATAAAGGGTCATTGAAGCCACAGGATCAAATAGGAGATCATTTAGGGAGTGTGAGTTAAGGAAGAGAAGACTTCTGAGACTGGAACTTGAATGAGATGACAAAGAAAAAGACAACTTGTTCATGATAGTGAAGGGAAACAGATATGTGGGAAGAAATTCAAAAGGTTCTGGGAATCAAAGTCAAAGTATTTCAAGAAAGTGAGTCATCAAAGGCATCAAATGCTGCACAGGCCAGATGAGAACACTTACCCTGTGGCAAAGGCAGAATAATGCATTTTATTCAGACTGACTTGGTGGTGAGTGTTTTATTTATTTACAGCACAAATCCCAGCTTCAGAAGAAAATGGGTTACACACTTGCCTGGGTATGTACTGACTGAAGAGAAAGGCTTGTTAGAAGCCTATTCTAAGTATGAATTACAGAGTTTCCTGTGGAAAGAAAGAAAGAACCAGGCAAGAAATCTTTATTCAGTAAAAAAGATGACTTTTATTTGGTGGGGAAGTAATAATAAACAATGGCATCAAGTAGGATCTGTAGGAATTGGTCTAACATTTAAATATTTGGAGAAAAACTATAAATACTTAACAAGAAAATGAAGATAGGAGACAAAAGTATTGTTACTACTACTACAATATTGTTATGCCCATAAGTTTTTAGACCTAAAAATTTGGGATACTATATAAGAATATTTTGTTTTCCTCACTTATAACTATTTATATATTTAATCTGTTCAACATATTTATAATAAATAAGAGCTTAGTGTAGTTCTCTGTAATGGACCTGTATAGATAAAAAAGATTCCCTTTGTACCTTCAAGCATTGATTATGTTTGTAGATGAGAAACTAAATATACAAACCAACAATGGCCAACCCATACATAAAAATAGAACTCTAACACCCAATCTGCAGTAACCAGCCCAGAAAACAAACTCCTTACCTATAATAAACAGCTTAGGATGCCAACCTACTATATGCAAGTCAGACTTGTAAGAAATCAGACCACTATTCATAGTAAATGATCTGGGAAGCCAAATGATAACCTTGTAACATGTGGCCCCAAATGCCCTGGACTTGACTAATAATCGATGGCTTCCCCAATTTTTGCATGACTTCAGGACCATCTAGAGGCATCCAAATATGTTCTCCAAGCCAATCACATAGGATGCCTCACTTCTAGTTTATCCCACCTATGGCTTTTCCACGCCAACACCCCTAATCAAGGCACACCTGAAGGCTTTCCATTTCCCACTATAAAGTATTCCTATTCCTTTGCCTGCCTTTGAGTCTGTACCAAACACTAGTGATGGTGGCTGACCCCATTGCTATAGCAAGCTCAGAATAGCCTTTGCTTGTTCTCATTTGTTCCCACTCTGGTAAGACTAAAATATAAATCTTTGATCTGATGATTTATTGAATGCCATTTATTAGTAAACTTTTCCAATAAACGGGCTGTTGTTAAATAGGTTTTTCTGGCAAACAAAAGTATACAATTTAGCCTCCTCATTATACACTTATTATTTTCTTTTATCCTCAGACAGCACTTTTATTCCACAAGCAACCATTTTAACCCTTGTCCTGATTGCAACAAGAATACTCGCCAGCGGTGCTTGCAGCTGCAGCATTTACATAGAGATAACTTTGCCATGAAATATCTCGCTTTTATTATTATTTTCACATTCCTCTGGTATATCAACTTTGGAAACAAAAGACAATCATTCTGTTTATAGCATTCTGTGTTTATTAGTGTTCTGTCCATTTAAAAATATATATAGTAATTCTCAATCGCTGAAAATGTCAAATCCTAAAAAATGTCACATGCCTACATGTTAACATCATTCTCAAACATTTGTTGGCTGAAGATTCATTTGATGAATACTATTTTACCAAAATAAACAATTCTGATGATTTAGATGATTCTGATGTTAGTTCTGTTTAGAAATAACTCCAAGAACATTTTTATATTTTATTTTCACATTGAAAATCAGTCAGATTTGCCTCAGCCTTGAAGAGTAGGTTTGCGTAAAATTAAATGAGTGCTGGCAGCAAGCTGTACTTTTTTTTTCTTTTCTAAATGGGAAAGGGGTTAAATTTAAAATATATCTATTTGTTTAATTATTATCTTGCAAAATATAGTACAAAAAATAAATATTGTTTCACTGAAATCTTTTTAAATTTATACAAATTATATTTACCATCTTACCTTGCATTTGTCCCTTTTATGGGTTCCAAATGACCACACAATTTTATTGAATCTCACATTACATTTCCATGTATACATCTTACTATTTCTCTACTTTCAAAAAATTTTTTTTTTTTTTTGCAGGTGAAAATGCCTTTAACTTCTTTACCTGGCAAAAATGACATGTCCTTCAAGGTACAATTAACATGCCACGTTGTTCATGAAAACTTCATGGTCACTAACATAAAAAATTATTTCTAGTTTTCCTGAACTTCTATAATGCTGCTTTCTCTTATAAAATATTTCCTTCTCTTGAAATTATTATTCTTGGCTTTCCCCTATTACTTGGATCTCTTTGAGGACTGTATCACTATTAAGTGCTTAAAATATAAAGATAAATTAGACAACACACTAGTCTTTGAGGCACTCACACTGTAATGAGGATATTTATGTGTGTTCTGTATAATTAGCAATATTATGATATGATGAGTTCTAAAGGCTCACAGAGAGGAATAACAAATCCTACCTGGCAGGAGTTTGAATATGCTTTAAAGAGAAGATAAATGCAGGCATCCTGCCCTACATAAACTCTTCCTAGCCATGCATCCTTTTCTTCCCATCAAGAGGTGGCCCTGAAGATATGTTTGAGTAAATATCTATGCTTCTCCTAGCCAAGGCTGATCCTACAGGAGAAGCTTGGCCCAAGCTAGAGTAATTTGACAATTTTTTTCAAAAAAAACCAGTACTTTGGAAATAAAAATTCTAAACCATTATGTTATTAACTAAATTGAAAGAAAACAAAGCCTGTGGTAGCTATTTTCCATCATGTACATGAAAAAAAAAAGAACCCAATTTCAGAGAGATAGAAGAATGAAGCCTACACTGAAGGAAAGATAACAAAATGACATTTAGCTTCACAGAAAGAGACAAGGAGAGCAAGAAAAAAGTTTTGATTCCAGGCTATTTTCCAATTTCTGACTCTAGTCCTCCTGAGGCTTGACTGTAGTTCTCGCCCTTAGGTTCTGTTGGATAGCCTTGTATGTCCTACCATTAAATTCACAGTTTTTATACAATTTAGCTTAAGGTGATCTCTGGTACTGCATCCAAACAATCTCTGTCTAAGACAGCTATGTAATAAAGGGTAAATAACAATTTGACAGATATATAAAGGGAAAGGGCAGGACACTCCAACAAAAGGAAAAATTACCAAATATATGGAAATATGAAGTTTATGTTTGAGAATTATCAAGTAGATCAGAATAGTTAAAACATGTGATGATTGACAGCATCATTGAAGTCTCATTCAAAACACACTTAAACATCTTACTAACGAACTTGGACTTTATCCCAACAGCAGTGGAAAAGAGAATGTGGAAACATTTCAACACAGATGTTAATAATAAAAGGCTGCAATTAAAATAGATTAGGCTCCCTGACAGCCACTCTGTGGCCTCAGATGACTTTCTTCCTCTTTATTCTCCTCCTCCAATTAATGATAGTAATAATAATAGGCAATACTAGTAGCTAATATTTATTTAGTACTTTGTGCCAGACAACCTAGTAATTAATTTATATGTAGTATCTGATTTCTTTATAGGAGCCCTGAGCTAGGGACTATTATTATCCTCATTGTACATTAAGAACAATGAAACACAGAGAAATTAAATAACTTGTCTTATACCACTAGCAGGAAATTCGTATTTAGAGAGTATCCAAGAGAAATCTTTGGTTTAGTTTCAGGTTTTGGGTTTTTTTCCAACCTTGTTTCCTCCTTTTATATATTCCTTGTTTTTCACTGTTATTATAAAATTAAGCCAAAAACATTAAATATCAAAAGCTCTACTGAAATTGTTGATTAAAAGTCTTAATCTGTATTGAGAACACCTGTATTGAATATTTGCCAGCAGTGTTTGTAGCTGCAGCATTTACCTAGAGATAACTGGTGGTAGGAAGCCACCCACCCACACACACACACACACACACACACACACACAAACACCCCCCACCCCCACCCACACACACACAGACTTTAGTCTCCAATATCTCTAATAGGGGTTTATACATGTAATCTCGGCAAATAATCCCTTCACGCAAGATAATGTTTACAAATGTCAGGCTCTCTTTTCTTCTAACCAAATTTTATATCATCGAAGTCACATCCTCATTTTGCAAAACTAGAACCAGTTTTGACCAGTTTCTAAGCATTTCTGAGAAAAATCTCTGTATCCAGTTTCCAAGGCCCTAAAAAGTCTATTGTCTTGAATTTGGTACTCTTTTATGATCTGGATGGTTCTGACAGTGAGTGGTCTGATGACTACAATTATATATTCATTTTCTCCAACAATAATAGTTGCAAAACATTAAAAAAATAAACTTCCTGCTAGTCATAAATATTGTTCTTCTGACCCCAAAATAATCCTGACTGCTCTTGACCTACATATATAATTGACATAAATGTTGTCACAACCAATTGAGTAGTAGATAGGGCATTGCACCCAGGAGAGTCTTACCTTCATAGCTCAGCTGTAACTTATAGAAATAACATTAGAAAGAATATAGTCCTCTACTAAGTATCACAGCTTAGATAAACAGAAGAAAGCTTATTTTGTTACCAAATTTTATTTCCTGCAAAACTGGCTTCATGTTACCAAGTTGGCTCCTTCTCTAGGTCTTCTTTGGTGATCCCTAAACTATTCAGTTCAACTGGGATATAGAATAGGTGGACATTCAGAATTAACGAGAGGTTATTACATTAATAGACTTTGCTAGCTTCATCATCCCTTTCAATGTAGCATACAGGGCTGCAGGAATTTTGAATTCAATTCATGAAGCTACTAATAGTATCCATTGCCTAATTGTAGTATAGATCATCAAAGGAACTTAAGTCTGAGAAAGGCCCTTTCTGGCACCTTCACCCAAAAGCCCATGCCTATAATCAATAGATGTAATCAATGGGAATAAAATGGTTCTATATAGCATTTATAAAACTTATCTCAAGGTTCAATCCTATATTAACCTACTTATATCTGTCTCCCTAATAAATGAGTCCACCCAGACTCTACCTAAAAGTCTCACACATTCAAATACATTGAATATTTAACTATATTGTCAGATAATCCCTATGTACCATGGCAGTGCTAGTTTATAGAAGGAACAACTGAATAGCCCATTTGATTAACACATTTAGCCATAGGTGTTGGGTTACATGTCATGAAAATTTAAGGTACTTCTTTTACACCCAGTTTTATACTGCCTTACTAGTGAAATGAATATCCTGGTTGGAAGAACTGTAAGTTCTATATCTTCATTGTTTTAATTGTTCTCTAACAATATCCCCCATTTCTATATCTTCAGTCCTTTGTGGTGATAACTGGGGTGGCATGAGCTAGTCTGCATCCTAAATAGAGAAGACCTTCTGTCTTCTGTATCAGTCAGAGCCCAGTGAGGAAACATAAACTACACTAGTTATTTGTATAGAAAAAATTTAATATATAAAAACACAATAATTAGGATGCGTTTTCAACAGAGTAACTGAAAAGGAAACACAACAGTGAATTTTCGGGGGGATAGCAGTGATAGGAGGCAGCAATCATCCCTAAGGCTGAAGAAACAAAGGCACAAGTTTAAGATTAGTAAAACTTAAAAGTGAGGATAAGAGACCTGTAGATTTAAAACACAAGCTTTGAGGATGGCATGCTTACCTGGTGCTGGTTTCTCTAAACACCAGAAGGTGCCCAACAGCAACTTTGACTCAGCTCTCTGAAGAGGGGGTGCCTGTAAACTTACTCTGAAGGTAGTCTTCACATTAAAGAGTATTTGCAAATTAGACACCTCTGCTGCTATGAGAAGGAATTGTACCCCTGGAGTGAAAAATCGTTACTAGAATGAAACACGCAGGAAAAGAAAGCAGTCATGAAGCAGATAAATGCACAGGGAAGAGCAAGTTTCTTCTTCTTCTTCTAGGCTTTCAATGTCTCTCTAGCACACCCTATCAACAAAGCCTAAAGAATACCAGCTAGAAAAGTAGAATTGTGGTGTGTAGAGATTGAGCCCTAGTAAAATAGAATATGGAACAGTGTGTTTGGAGCTCAGAGACAATAGCTTCATGAATGGCACAGCTGTTCCCTTGTCTAATGGTCGCTCCTGGCCTTATGGGTTTCATACCAGTTAGATTTACACTGGTCCCTATTTCTGTTAACAAATAAAGCACAGTTTAATAGCACTTAAGGATTCAGGAATATTAAGAAGAAAATGATTGATTATTGGTGCTGGTTGCCTGAGTGGTAATTAGGTATGTATTAGTCAGGGTTCTCCAGAGAGACAGAACCAATAGAAATGGCTCATCATACATATATACATATACACATATGCATTTATTATAAATGATAAATATATTAGTAATATACATAAGTAATATATACATTAGTTATATATATATACATATATGTGTGTGTGTGTATATATATATATATATATATATATTTGAGAGGGGATTTATTAGGAAAATTTGCTCACATGATTATGGAGGCTGAGGAGTCCCATGACAGGCTGTCTGCAAGCTGGAGACCCTGGGAAGTCAATAGCATGGCTCAGTCCAAGTCCAAAATCCTAAGAACCCAGGAGGACACTGGTGTAAGTAAGTCCCAGAGTCCAAAGGTCAGAGATTCTGGAGTTTTGATATCTAAAGGTAGGAGAAGAAGAGTGTATCCCAGATCCAAGAGAGAGGGAGAGAGAGGGAGAGAGAGAGAGAAAGAGAGAGAGACACCAATTTACTTTTCCTTTGTTTTTGTTCTATCTAAGTCTCCAGCCATTGGATGGTGCCTGCCTACATTGAGGAAGGATTTTCTGCACTTGGTCCACTCAAACTCTCAGGATTATTTCATCTGGAAACACTCTCATAAGCATACTAAAAAATAATGCTTTACCAGTTCTCTAGGTATTCCTTAATATAGTCATGTTGACACCTAAAATTAACCATCACAAAGTATAAGCTGTTCATAAGGGTTGTGTGTGTGTGTGTGTGTGTGTGTGTGTATACACACACACACACATATATGTAAGAATATGTTTACGTGGTTTGAAATGTGATTGATATATACATGGTTTGTCCCCATACCTCTTAAATTCATTCAACCATCTATGAGTTCATCTATGAGGAATATATAAAAATATCAAGCTGTCAATTCCCCATCTGAGGATCACATTAATGGGATTTCTCATGTTCATTTTGAATTTAGGCATGATTGGAACATTTGTCTATAATTAATTACTCCCAAATAGGCATACAACAACCAGTTCTGTCCACTTGCTGTACCACAGTACAAGTCACTGGTTACAACTCTTGTGTTGGTGTACACCAAGCAAACAATATCTGTGTGATGCTGATTAGTCATGGCTAGGCAAACTACATGCATTTCAGCCTCTTACCATGACCATTCTTATATTGCTTCACTCTGTTACCAGTTTTGGTCAGCTATAGTAGAGCATCTTTTCAGTGGTAGCCACCAGAATACTTGGCATTATCACCAGTATATCAAGCTCTATTGTGTTGTTCTTTAACAATATTCTTAGAACAGTGGGATTGTAGACAATCTAATCCTAAAATGGGCAAAATAATGAAAAAAAATCTAAATAGCTAAAACACATGAAAAGATGATATATTTTCTTAGTCACCAAGGAAATGCTATAAAGTAATCTCACTTCACATGCACCAGAATGACTACAATTCTTTTTAAAAGCTGATGATACCATGTATTGGGGAGATGTAGAACAATTAAAATGTTCCTACTCTGCTGGTGGGAGTTCAAGTTTGTGCAACAAATTTGGGAACACTGTTTGTCAGAACCTACTAAAGTTAACCACATGTATATCCTATGACCCAGAGAGCCACATCTAGTTATATCTGACAGAATTGTGTGTATGTACAAAATGATGAACAAGAAAGTTCTTTTTCAGCACTATGAATAATAGACAAAAACTAAAAACAATGTGAATGTGTATTAACGTTGAAATAAATAAATTGCAGTCTTTCACAAAAAAACCTTGAAAATTAATTGCAATTATAACTAACAGCATAAATCAATATCATAAAGCTAATGTGGAATTCAAGAAGCCAAAGACAAGAATACATACTATATTATCCTAGTTATGTAAAGTTCAATCACAAGTAGAATCAACCTATGGTGAGAAGCTATGATAGTAGTTGCATTTGGGTCTGGTATGGAGCTAAGAAAAACTTCTGAAATAGTAGTAATATTCTGTTTCTTGATTTTTGTGCTGTTACATGGGTGTGATACCTTCATGCAAACTTACTGAGCTGTATATTATAAGATATGCACTTTTCTGCACAATCTTTAAAGTTTTCAAGTAGAAGGGAAGAAAGTGGTGAAACCTTTGTGCTTTATCTGATAGAAGTTCCCCAGAAGACACTGGAACTATCCACACTGTAGCTTCTACTGCTACATGTTCAT
This sequence comes from Homo sapiens, assembly GCF_000001405.40. Taxonomy (NCBI): domain Eukaryota; kingdom Metazoa; phylum Chordata; class Mammalia; order Primates; family Hominidae; genus Homo; species Homo sapiens. Next base: position 38,246,910 of record NC_000012.12, read on the forward strand.
GGTCCTGATATACTCTGCCTCTACTTCAACCTTTGGCATGTTCTTGGATATAACACCATTATCTAATGAGAAAGCAAACTCTGCTCAGCAAATGTTTTTACATAAATGTTGCTCTAGTATAACTTAGGACACAAATGGAATTTCTAGGGGCAGAGTAATCAAATGATACTCAATAATATAACAAGCATTGTTGTTCAAATGGAGGTGGACTGGCCAGAATCTACATACGAGCGCTATACCATTCTCACGGTGTCTGTCATACCTCCAGTCAGGGTGTATTATCATGGTAGATAACTCAAGGATCATGGGAGCTGATGAGTCATTCCAGGCACAGTCAAGTCAGTGGGAATGGCCCTGGTCACTCAGGTCTTCACACAAAGTTAGCCTAAATTGGTAGGTAATATGAAAGATTTTCATTCTGCCTATATTATCAGAACCTTGATAATTACTTGGTTGTTCACTTGTTATTTTAGTGGTTGGAGCCATGGCCATACATGAAACACTTATGTACTAGTGACATATTCAGTTAATGGAGACAAAATTACCTCAACCTTGTGGAAGGCTCCATACCATTCAGCATGAAGTCATTGTTCTGCCTTATCTGAGAAAGGCCCTGTGATCTCTCCCAGGTGGAGAAGTTCAGGAAACCTTGGCCGCATTCTCAATCTGCTTTAAAATGAAACTCTTTAGGCATCTGTTTCGGGTTCTCAGCCTTATGAACAGTTTTCTACCTTATCCTGTGTTGTCCACTCTACATTGTACTCTTTCTGTACAGGATTTGGAAAAACATGGCTTTTCTTTATATTTAAAGAATGTCAGTGGAAGACTCTCTAGGGGTATACTCATCTCAGGAGCCAGTGTAGCCATAACCTCAAGCAAAGATTAAAAGAAAAATATAAATATAACTATATATAAATCCTTTTTCAAGATACCCATCTTGGGAAAGAATGTTTTAATAATTATTTTTTCAGGCCTGTTATCACTCTCCAATTTTATTTCAACTAGTTTAAACCAACAAGATGATCTATTTTAAATGAAATGATTTCTGAAACATAAAATATTACACCAATGTAAGCTTTATATATGTCAATTAAATGTGTTTAATTTGTACTAGAATTTGATATTCTCCTAGTAGAAATAGCAGAAAATTATTTCTGTGACTGTCCCCTCTGAGAATCATAAAAAAACCATCTCAATTAGCTTATACTAAATTTTCACAAATCACAAAGCTCCAAGACACAGTTCTTTTCATAATGTTAAATATCTTATTGTTAAGAATAAATATTTTAATTTTACATTAAAAATTGCTCAGAATATTATATGATCTTAACATTTACAGTTAATTATTACCTTTGTCATCTTGCATCTTTTAAAAAGCCATTCCTATAGTGTGGTGCGCAGAATAATGGTCCCCCAACGATAGCCATGCCCTAATTTCCAGGATCTGTCAACATTTTGTACTATATGGCATGATTTTGCAGATGTTATTGAGGTAACTGGATCTTGAGACTTTATGCTTGATTATTCAGGGGGACCCAGTGTAATTACTTGAGTCCTTAAAAGCAGAGAGCCTTTACTGCCTGGATCAGAAAGATGAGACAGAAGAAAAAGAAGAGATTCAAAATGTAAGAGAAACTTGACCCACTGTTGCTGACACTGAAGGTCGAGGAAGGGGACCACAAGCCAAGGAAGCCCCTGGAAACATGGGTAGCCTCTAGAAAGGAGGCCAGCCTTCAGCTGACAGCCAGCAAGAAAACAATAACTTAAATCCCACAACCACAGGAACTGAATCCTGCCCACAATCCATGTGAGCAAGAAATAGACTATCCTGTAGAGTCTCCAGAAAGGAACACAGCTCTGCCAATACTTTGATTTTACCCCAGTGAGATATATGCCAGACTCATTACCTAAAGAACATTAAGATATTAAATCTGTACTGTTTTAAGCTGCTAAGTTTGTGGTGTTTCCTTTTTTTTTTTACAGCATCAATAAATAACTAATACATGTACAGAAAGTTTTATGATGTAAGGTAAAGATTTCTCAGACCTTCCCTTTCCATAGTTAAAACAGGCATTAATGAATTTTTAAATTGAAAATTACTAGTTATTTCCTTGAAGAGGCTTTTCTGGCCTCCTATATCCTTTGATATTACTCGTTAAGAGTCAGGAGAAGAATTGTATAGCATAATTGGGCAATGAGCAAAAAGCTCAGGCCAATTCTTCAATTCCCTCTGAGGAATTAGCTCTTCATTACTTTTACAATATTTATTGAGCATCTTAAGATTTGTGCACTGTTCTTCATGCTGAAAATACAGAAATGAATAAAGTTTATGTCATTGTAAAGATTACTTTCTAGTATGGGAAAGGGAGTCAGATTTCAAACCAGTAATCTAAAAAACATGTAATATATCAGGGGAAATACATGCTATGAGTAAAAGTAAAGCAGTTTAACCATTCAAGGCCACAAATGAAAATAACCAGTATGCTGAAATTAGGATAATCTAAGATGACGCTGTGGTTCCAAGAAAATGGGGCATTTTTATGCTTCCTATTCTCCCATCAGTTGGCCATAGACAGTTGGCTGGTGCAGTTGTAAGAAGTGTGCCACAGAGAAGGGCAGCTAAAGTTCCAGTTTTCTGTTTGGAAGACCAGAAAGAAGATCACGCCAGAGAAGAAGAAATTGCTGGAGAAATTATGAAGTAACAGGAGCCTGGGAAAACAACCTTATAAATGTATGTTCTCTTGGGCTCAGCCCTGTAATTCTTCAATTTATTTAGGCAAGGTTAGAGAAACATCTCAGAGCAAGATGGCCAAGCAGAGAAGGCGGCAACATGTGATATCTTGGATACATTCCGGCAGCCTCTTTTGTTTTCTGTTTTCTAAAACCCCAGCCTCCAGACAAGCCAACAAAGGCAATGGTTGTAGAAGTGACGCAGGTGGCAGTGAGGGCAGCAGGCCCTTAAAAATGGGAGATGGCAGAATTTATTTTCTCATCAAAGGAGCTATGGTCTTAGGAGGATAGGTGAATACCCCTGCCCCTTACCTTTTCTTCTCTATCTTTCTGTTTTCCAAATAGTTGTCCCCAGACGTGGGCACAGTCACAGCCAGGGCAGACATTAGTCACCAAAACCCCAGATTTCTGGCTGCAGGAGCAAAGAAAGGAGCGCTAGGGATTTATCCAAACTGAACAACAGAGAGGAAAAAAAAAAAGGTTTTAAAAAGTGCATAGAGCCCCAGGAGCCTGTGGGACAAAACCAAAAGATCAAACACTCTGGACATCAGAGTTTAAGAAGAGGAAAAATAATGTAGCGCAAAAAAAAAATTAAAGAAATAAAGGCTCGAAACTTTCTAAATTTGGCAAAAGGCATAAACTTACAGTTTTGAGAAGCTCAGCAAAACCCAAACTGGATAAACTCCAAAATATTATGTCCAGACATACAACAATTAACTTCCTAAAAACTAATGACAAAGGAAAGAAAATCTTAAAATTATAGAAAAACAGCATGTCACTTATAGGGAAAAAAATGACTTGAATTTCCATTGATTTCTGATCGAAAACACGGAGGCCAGAAGAAAGTAGAACAATATTTTCAAAGTATCGAAGGAAAAGAATGGTAATTCCAGAATTCTATATACAGACAAAATGTACTTCAGTAATAAAAGTTAAATGAAGACATTCCCAGATGAAAGAAAACTAAGAGAATCAGAGACCTATTCTAAAAGAAATTCTTCAGTTAGAAGAGAAATAATGCCAGTAGAAAACTTGAACTGTCTGGAAGAAGGAAGAAAAAAGAAATGGTAAATATCTGGGTAAATATAATGGATTATCTTCTCCTTTTGAGCTCCTTAAAATATGTTTATAGTTGACGCAAAATTTATAACATTGCCTGGAAAGAAGTTCAATATATGTAGACATAATACAAAGGAAAAAGTGCCAAGAGTTATCATTCTACTTGAATTGGTAAAATATTGATTCTAAATAGACTTTGAAAGTCAAAATACTAAAAATTCTAAAGAAATAATAAAAATACAATTGAGAAATTAAAATATAATAGAAAATGCTAAAACATTCAAAATAAGGAAGGAATGGGAGAGCTGTGAATGGAAATGGCAGCTTCTGTTTCATATGAGAAGGAAATGAACTACTTTTCTTCCTTTCACTGTTACACGAGAGAATGACAAAAAATAGAGGTATAAAATTAGATGATAAGAAATTGAAACAGTAGCTGCCATAACATAGGAGGCATACACTCCCAAGAGAGAGATAACAGTGGTGGGTGGGGCAGTGTCAGGGGTGGTTTCACAGCATAATAATACTCTCAGATGTTATTTAAATGACAGAAGAGAGTTAACTTGTCCAGTTAGGACTATAAATGAGGAAAAGGGAAGAATTATTGAAAGAAAAAAGTTGAGAAAATAATATTTGGTGTTTTGTTTGAAATAATTCTAAATTGAAAGATGAGTCAGTGATATCAAGGATATTGAATGAGGGAGGGATAGGCTGGTAAGAGAAGCTATAGACAATATAAAGGATGTGAAAGAATGAGGCAGGCTCTGTAGGGTAGCTCTGTAGGGTAGCCCATTGAATACTACCCTATGCAGTGATCACTTACTACAATGCTATTTTTTCATATCTTTGTCTCTCCTGCTCTTGCTCTCAACTCTATCTTCCAGTATACTTGATATGTAGATTGTGGATATATTTTGTATACACAAACACATACCCAAACACACAGGCTCTGGGTACAATTGAATGCTCTTACCTTATATTCTCTCAGACTGCATGCTACACTCTGAGGCCGTATTTGTACATCACACTTAAAAAGAGCTCCAATGACTGCTGAAGTACACTAGTCTACATGGAATGTGCTTTGTAATATATGTAGTTTACTCCAGTAAAACTTGTTTATCACAATCTAAGTTGTGCATTGTCCAACAGTTTTGACCCATAAACCAGTTGTCAAATAGTACAGAGATGACAGTGTAGAGATGATACAGTCACAAACACTCCAAACCACCATAAAGTTTTCCTTTTAATGCCCAGTAAGGAGTATATATCAATATTTAATTAGCACAAAAAATAAAGAGGAATTAGAAGGTAAAGTTCATGGGAAATTAAGAATTTGGTATATTCAAAGAACAAAAATATATTTCTTAAAACTCATGATAATGGGATGACATCTTTAATGCTTTTCCCACTTAGAAAAAAAAAGTGCAGCTCACTGCCAGAGTTCATTTAATTTTACATAAACATGATCTTTGAGGCTGAAGCAAATCTGACTGACTTTCAATGTGAAAATAAAATGTAAAAGCTATTCTTGGAGTTATTTCTAAACAGAACTAACATCAGAATCGTCTGAATCATCAGAATCATCTATTTCGGAAAAAAATAGGATTCATCAAATGAATCTTTGGCCAACAATTGTTTGAAAACAATGTTAACATCACACATAGGAATGCTACAGTTTATAGGATTTCACATTTTCAGGAATCAGGAATGACTGTATTTTGTAAATGGAAATACCACTACTAAAAGCAGAATGCTGTAAATAGTATGATGTCTTTCATTTCCAAAGTGGGCTATACTAGACCAATGTGAATATAACAATAAAAGTGAGATATTTCATGGCAAAGTTATCTTGGGGTAAATGTTGCAGCTGCAAACACTGCTGGCAAGTATTCTTGTGGCAAACAGGACAAGGGTTAATGTTACTTCAAACTGCATAGTGCCATTAGTAAAAGATTAGCAGTATCTGTGACTAGCCATTTGAAAAGCTCAAAATAAGTGGTCATAAAGAGTTGAAGGTTATACAAACATTAACTTAGAACTTTAGAACTGGAAGATATCTTAGAGAATACTTGGTCTGACCCTTCATTATACAGATAAAGAAACTCAGTTACTAACCTAAGATCCCAAATTAGAAAATGGAAGAGCCAGAGAAAATTCAAACTGAGTCAAAGATGACCCAACATATCTGTCCTTTAATTTTTTGAGGATATAACTGTAAGCTGAATGTCTTAAAACTCATATGACTATAACAATAAAATGGCATGCCTTTCTATTCCCCAATTATTTTAATAATTTCAACTTTTATTTTAGATTTAGAGAATACGTATGCACATGTGCAGGTGTTTTTTGTTTTTGTTTATTCTTTATACAGGGTCTTTCTCTGTCATCCCCACAGGAATGGTATGGCAAGATCTCAGCTCACTGCAACTTCCACCTCCTGAGCTCAAGCAATCTTCCAGCCTCAGCATTCTGAGTAACTGGGACTACAGGTGTGTGACACCATATCTAGCCATTTTTTTCATTTTTTTTTTCTATAGAGATGAGGTTTGACTGTGTTGCTCAGACTGGTCTCAAAGTTCTGGGCTTAAGTGATACCCCCTCCTCAGCCTCCCAAAGTGATGGGATTACAGGTATGAGCCACCATGCCTGGTCAATGCAGGTTTGTTATCTGGGGCTATTGCAGGATGCTGAGGTTTGGAGTACAATTGGTAGTGCCACCCAGGAAGTGAACAAAATAACCAATAGTTTTTCAACACATGGCCCACACTCTCCCTCCCCTCTTCTAGTAGTTCCCAGTTTCTACTGTAGCCAACATTATGTCCAAGAATAAACAATGTTTAGCTTCCACTTATAAGTGAGAATATACAGTATTTCATTTTCTGTTCCTGCATTAATTTGCTTAAGATTATGGCCTCCAGCTGTAGCCATGTTGCTGCAAAGGGCATGATTTTGTTCATTTAATGACTGCATAGTATTTCACAGTGTATGTGTACCACATTTTTTAATCCAATCAACCATTGATGGGCACCTAGGTTGATGTGATGTATCTGCTCTTATGAGCAGTGCTGCAATAAACATATGAGTGCATGTGTCTTTTTGGTATAATGTTCTATATTCCTTTATGTATGTACCCAGTAATGGGATTGCTGCATCAAATGATAGTTATATTTTAAGTTTCTTGAGAAATCTCCCAACTGCTTTTCACAGTGGCTAAACTAGTTAACACTCCCACCAACAATGTGTAAGTGCTCTCTTTTCTCCACATCCTCACCAGATATGTTGTGTTTGACTTTTTAATCAGATACATTCTGACCTATGTGAGATAGTGTCTCATTGTGGTTTCTACTTGCATCTCTCTGATGATTAGTGATGTAGAAGGGTATTTTTTCATATGTTTGTTGGCTGCTTGTATTTCTGCTTTTTAGAGTGTACTTTCATGCCCTTTGCCCATTTTTAATGGAGGTATTTGTTTTTTGCTTGTTGAATTAAGTTCCTTATATGTTCTGGATGTTAGATCTTTGTTGGATGCGTGATTTGTGACTATTTTTTCCCATTCTGTAGGTTGTCTGTTTACTCTGTTGATAGTTTCCTTTGCTGTGCAGAAGCTCTTTAATTACCCCATTTGTCAATTTTTGTTTTTGTTGCAATTGCTTTTGAGGACTTAGTAATAATTTTTTCCCCCAAGGCTGATGTCCAGGATGGTGTTTCCTAGATTTTCTTCTATAATTCTTATAGTTGTAGCTCTTACATTCAAATAGTTAATCCACCTTGAGTTAAATTTTGTATATGGTAAAAAGTGGACATCCAATTTCATTTTTCTGCATATGGCTAGCCAAGTATCCCAGCACTATTTATTGGATACGGAGTCCTTTCCCATTCCCTACTTTTGTCGAATTTTTTGAAGATCAGATTACTGTATACGTGCAGCCTTATTTCTGGGTTCTCTATTCTGGTCCATCAGTTCATGTATCTGTTTTTGTACCAGTACTATACTGTTTTTGTTATGGTAGTCTTATAGTTTTAAGCCAGGTAATGTGATGTCCACAGCTTTTTCTTATGATTGCTTTGGGTTATTCTGGCTCATTTTTCATTCCATATGAATTTTAGAACAGTTTTTACTAGTTCTGTAAAAAACAATGTTGGTAGTTTAATTGAATAATGTTGAATCTATAGATTGCTTTGAGCAGTATGGATATTTTAATGATATTGGTTCTTCCAATCCACAAGGCATGGGATGTTTTTCTGGTTGCTTCATCTATGATTTCTTTCAGCAATGTTTTATAGTTCTTGCAAAGGTTTTTCACCTCCTTGATTAGATGTATTCCTGGGTATTTTATCTTTTTATGGCTATTGAAAATGGAATAGCCTTCTTAATTTGACTCTGCATGAACATTATTGAAGTATAGAAATGTTACTGAAGGCCCAGTGTGGTGGCTCACAACTGTAATCCTAGCACTTTGGGAGGCTGAAGCAGAAGGATCACTTGAGCCCAGGAGTTGCAGACAACCCTGCACAATAAAGTGAGACCCTAACTCTACCAAAAAAAAAAATCAAAAATGAGCCAGGCAAGGTGACATGTACCTGAGGTCCTAGCTATTTGCAAGGCTAAGGTGGGAGGTTTGCTTGAACCCAGGAAGTTGAGGCTGTAGTGAGCCAAGGTCACAGAATAGCCTTCCAGCCTGGTAAAGAGAGTGAGATTCTGTCAAAACAATATTAAGAAAAAAGAAATGCTTCTGATTTTTGTACATTGATTTTATATCCTGAACATTTACTGAAGTCATTTGTCAGTTCTAGGAGCCTTTTAGTAGATTGTTGAGGGTTTTGTAGGTATAGAATCATATCATTAGTGAAGAGAGATAGCGTGACTTGTTTTCTTATTTGGATGATTTTATTTCTCTTGTCAGATTGCTCTGGCTAGCATTTCTAGTGCTATGTTGAATAGGAGTGATGACAGTGAGCATTCTTACCTATTCTAGATCTCTGAAAGGGGAATACTTTCAGTTTTTGCCTGTCCAGTATGATGTTGGCTGTGGGTTTGTCATAGAAGGCTCTTATGTTTTGAGGTATGTTCCTTCAATGCCTAGTTTCTTGAGGGTTTTTTTTTTTTTATCATGAAGCGGTGTTAGATTTTATTGAAAGATTTTTCTGTATCTATTGGGATGATCATATGGTTTTTGTTTTTAATTCAGATTATTTGTGAATCACATTTATTGATTTGCATATGTTAAATCAACTTTGCAATTTATGAAAGAAGCCTATTTGTCTGTGGGTCTATGGTAAATTAACTTTGTGATAGGCTGCTGGACTCAAGTTTGCCAGTATTTTGTTGAGGATTTTTGCATTTACATCCATCAAGGGTATAGGCCTGTATCATCATCAGGTATATTTGAAGAACAAAAATACATTTTTTAAAACTCATGATAATGGGATGACATCTTTAATGCTTTTCCCATTTAGAAAAAAAAAAGTGCAGCTTGCTGCCAGAGTTCATTTAATTTTACATAAACATGGTCTTTGAGGCTGAAGCAAATCTGACTGATTTTCAATGTGAAAATAAAATGTAAAAACTGTTCTTGGAGTTATTTCTAAACAGAACTAACATCAGAATCATCTGAATCATCAGAATCATCTATTCTGGAAAATTGGATTCATCAACTGAATCTTTGGCCAACAAGGATATTGGACAGCATTATCATTGGATGATGCCTGCTTCACAGAAGGAGCTAGGGAGGAGTTTCTCCTCCTTAGGAATAGTTTCAGTAGAATTGGTACCAGCTTTTTTTTGTACATCTGGTAGAATTCGGCTGTGAATCCAGGGCCTTATTTGGTTCATAGTTTTTCTATTATTATTATTACAGATTCAGTTTTGGAACTTGATATTGGCCTATTTAGAGTTTCAATTTATTCCCAATTCAATCTGTGGAGATTGTATGTTTCTAAGAATTTACCCATTTCCTCTAGATTTTCTAGTTTTTGTGCATAGAAGTGTTTTGTAATAGTCTGAGGATCTTTTGTATTTCTGTGTATTCCTCAATTGTGATAGAACATTGGATTGTCTTTTGTTAACTCAACATCATCTCCACCCCTGCTAGAAATCCCTCTAAATAAATTTCCCAACATCTTCTTCCCTATGTGGTTCTATGTTAACATCTGTCAATGAGAAACCATCTCACACTGTTTAGAAGATGTGACTAAAAGAGACAGTTGCAGGCAGACAAGTAGGCAGATGGCAGTTATATGATTTTCTGACAGTCTCCTGTGAAGCGCTCACTACAGTTTAGCTGAAACATATGATAGTAAATTTTTGTTAATCACTTGAGTTGGTTCTGCAAATTAAGACAGTCAGTGGGAGGCTCCCAGAGGTTCTTAAATTCCCAGCAATTTCTAGGTGAAATCCACCTCGGAGTTCAAATTGAGATTTTCTTTTCTGAATTCTGATTCCTCATCCTAGATAGCAGTTATATATGCCTCTAATTTCATGTGTTACAATTCTTTGTAAATAGAATATAGAATGTTTTCCATTTTCTTGCCTGAAGCCTGACTGATATACATAGACAAGACTCAATATTTTCACTACCAAAAATTAGTCCCATTCAAAATTTGGTTCCGTTATTTCTGGGAATACCTAAAATTGGATCTTAAGAGCATATAATAGATACAGTCACTGCAATGTATCATGTATGACACCCATAATCCCATTTTTATGCCTTGTAAAGACAATTGGAAAAGCTTAAGCACTGTCACTGCCCATGAAGACAAGGAATATTATCCATCCTGAAGAAGATTTTCATGTATGCTCTCACCACATATGTCATTTTCACCCAGAGAAAGGTAGAAGAGCCTCCTCCCTAGGTCTGAGACATGCTTTTCCACCGGAACTCTTTTTGTACCCAGAGTTTTACAAATCTCTCTGAACACTCTCATGAACTCATTCTCTAGAAATTTTTCCTTACAAGAATCTCACCAAATCTCTCATGAAAAAAAAAAACAGTTTTTTCCTTTAACCAGATGACTTCATTTGCAGTACTGGATTGGGGAGACTCCATAATATCTGCATAGTCCTCCTCCATTCCATTTTCCCTCCCACCTACCCCCACCACAAAAATAAATTTGTTTCACCTGGTAACCAATGATCCTTTTATCATATTAACCAATGCAAACCTCACAGGATGTTAAAATGGTATTTTTCTTGTCTCCATTTTAGCTGAAGCATAAAGACAATACACATACCTTCAAAAATGACATCATTTTACTGCAGTTTTAAAGTGGATAAAAGAAAAAATAATTCTTAACTCCATCATTTACATTGAGGATAAAAAGATTCCTGGAAAATTTATAAAGAGGGTATTTGGAAGTGGTTATTGCTGTGTGGGAAGCTTCAGTCTGCTCCTTGTCAAGGTGAAGGGCTAGGATTGGGTTTCCTTTTCTTCATCCAAGCCTAGCGTGGAGGCCATGAGGATCTGCACTGTAAACTTCCAAACTAAGAGCCCAGTTTCCGTATACTGAAATCTATTGTGTTACCCTCAGGCAACAGCCTAGAATTAGAAGAATACTGTGGCCAACCCATTACAGATAAATATGGGACTTCTCTGATGGCCAGCTTTGGCTTACAAGTTCCTCCAACAGCCTTTGCTGAGCTTTCCTTAGACTGCACTGCAGTCTAGGACCCTTCCAACTTGGCTTCCTTCCTCTCTTTTTCACTAAGAGTCAGGCATTTATTGCAGGTTTGAAACTTTCTCAGCCTTCTCCAACTCCCTCCCATGTTATCTCACAGACATCTTTGTTAATAATATCCTTGCACATTTAATCCCCTCTTGGCATCTGCTTCTTGGAAGGTCCAAACTAATTTAGGTGGCAGTAGCAGCATAACAGATGGCTGACCTGACTTATCCACTGCCTGCCAGGTGAAGATTCTGTCTTGGTAAGTGGGGCATGGCTAATCTCTGGAGCAAAGTGATGGCTCAATTGCTAAAACTATCACAACCAATGACAACCTGGGAAAATATCCCAGTGTATGGGAATTCTGTGGCAAGGGTAATGATGCAGGTACTTGAAAAATGGAGGGCTGCGGGGAGGTAACAAACAATGCATACAAAAATAATGGAGTTGACTGGTTACTGCTAAATTATGTTGACACCCTGCAGAAGGATAATGGGATTCTGAGGGCTTTTAGCAAGCAGTTTATGGCTAATTATGAAAGCCAGAAAGTCCCTGTGGTGGCTTATAAGGAGGTCAATATTTCCAACAGTAGAAGAATATATAGTTGAGCTGCAGGCTCAAGGCCTCATTAACAATGAACTCTGGAGCTTCTGAGATGTTTAAATGCTCACTAAATCAAGTCTGTTATGCAAAGTTTATCTACCTCCTAGAGAAAGCCTGAGATCTTGAAACATGGGACAAGTATATCTGGTTAAATGTCCTGAGTACATTGACTCTAACTCCCCTGGATCTTTGGGTCTTGCAGAAGTACCTCACTCTTCCCTAGTAAGTGCTAGTACTTCCACTTTCCCAAATGGCAATAGATCTCTCCCTTCCCGGGAGCTGCTCTCACATCCTCTCTGGCTGCCAGGCTAATAACTAACATTAAATCTCTGTGTAACCTGGCTAGAAATGTGCTAAGCCTGGTATTGAGAGGTGAAGCTGGCTGGGCTTCTGGGTTGGGTGGGGACTTGAAGAACTTTTCTGTCTAGCTAAAGGATTGTAAACACACCAATCAGTGCTCTGTGTCTAGCTAAAGGTTTGTAAATGCACCAATCAGCACTCTGTAAAAACACACCAATCAGCACTCTGTAAAAACGCACCAATCAGCGCTCTGTAAAATGGGCCAATCAGTGCTCTGTAAAATGGACCAATCAGTAGGATGTTGGTGGGCCAAATAAGGGAATAAAAGCTGGCCACCGAGTGCCAGCAGCAGCAACGCACTGGTGTCCCGTATCACGTTGTGGAAGCTTTGTCCTTTCGCTCTTCACAATAAATTTTGCTGCTGCTCACTCTTTGGGTCCACACTATGAGCTGTAACACTCACTGCAAAGGTCTGTGGCTTCACTCCTGAAGTCAGCAAGACCACGAGCCCACCAGGAGGAACAAACAACTCCAGAATCACCACTTTTCAGAGCTCTAACACTCACTGCAAAGGTCTGTGGCTTCACTCCTGAAGTCAAGTGAGACCACGAACCCACCGGAAGGAAGAAACTCTGGACACATCTGAACATCTGAAGGAACAAACTCCGGACATACCATCTTTAAGAACTGTAACACTCACCATGAGGGTCCGTGGCTTCATTCTTGAAGTCAGCGAGACCAAGAACCCACCAGAAGGAACCAATTCTGGACACAGTATGGGATGTAATAAACTATACATTTAAAGCATTGCAAAAATTAGCATATATTTACCAATAAGTGATAACAGGGCCCTCCTGGCATTGGATTTTGAAGATTCTTTATCAAAGGGGCCAGATGTAAGACTGGATACACAAAAAAGTCATTGATTTCAGAGCACTTTCTTAGGACACAGGACTCAACAGCCTAGCAAAGATCCCAGGGGATGGAATAAACTGTCAGGTTATTATAGAATTGCTAATTAAAATGCTCACATTCATGGGGATAATGGGCCCCCAAATAATAGAAGCCAGGAGGCTGCAATTACCATAATCATCAGTAAACCTGATATGTTTCCCTTCTGTTTGGAAGGTGAGTAGACTGATGTCTTACTCCCTATGAAAAATCTAAATGGCAAGAGAATGGTTGGCTAGGATATGATGGATAAGCTGAAAGAGAGGTAACTTAATTGGGCAGGCTACACAAATAGAGCTTGTTATAACAATAAAACACGAATATTTTCTATTGACTAGGTGTGGAGACAGAGCAAGACTCCGTCTCAAAAAAAAAAAAAAAAACAAGCAGTCAACTAGGTTTACAGTTGAGATGGGAGAGGAACCATAAGATTATGGTATCCTGAAGATATAGAAATAGAGGCTTGAATAAGATATATTAGTTTTGTTATATTTGTATTAGGCTATGTTATATACCAATATATGGTTTGTGAGTTAAACAAGTAAAACATAATATGTTTTATTAAAAATGAAATTAGAAGAGCTTCAAGATGGCTGAGTAGAGACATCCAGCACTCGTCTCCTCCACAAAGAACCAAAACAGCAAGTAGTTAATCACACTTTGAATGGAGAATCTAGAGAGAATATTGGAGTTCAGTAGAGAGATGATGGGCAACACAGGGCACAGGAGGAGAGAGAAGCAAGGCAGACACCTCCTCCAGGATTGGCTGCAAGACAAGAGAGGCTCCCCAGTGCAGGGAAGGGTGAGGGAGAGATCCCCATGGTCTACATTCCCACCATGAAATCCTGAAGCCCTAGCCCTATACCATTATGGGCCCTGAGACTACCAAAAGGAGCTGCCTGGAGATCAAGCAATGGCATTGCTACAGAGAAGGCTCTCACCCTTCCTTCCCACCACCACCCTACTGTCCCAGGCTTAAACAGCTGCAGCATGTCATCATTTTGAGAGCAGACTGCATCATGCCCTGGGGCACAGGAACCCCTGCATCTACACTCCCTGGAGTCACTGACATCTCCCCGTTTCCAAAGGTGGGGCTGCAGTGGTGCAACGCCAGCTGGATCCAGTGAAGTGGCAGGGTCCCCAGTACTCTAGCACACACAGCCTCTCCTGCACCTGGGGAACAAGTTCTGCAGCACACCAGAAAGACTACATTTGGGACAAAGGGAGCCAAAGCACATACTCCCCAGAGCCTGAAGACAGCTTGCCTTGGGAGGCCAAAGACAGCAACCCTGACCCCACAGTAGCAGAGCACATGCCCTTAGTACAGGGCTCTGCTATCACCTGATAGTGTTGCTTCTTCTACCCTTAGAGGCTGAAATGCATGCCACTGGTAGTGACCCTACCCACTTTGGCAGCAGGGCTGTTGTGTACTTGCACGTACCCTAAGGAATGGCTTTCTCTGATGCTGATGCTGCCACTGCCACTGCCACTGCCACTGTCACTAAGGACTAACGTGCATGCTACCCAAAGCCTGAGAACCTCCTGCTTACAGCTGTGATCAATAACAGAAATCCCAACCACTTCATTCTAGAAGGCCAGTGTTACTCTAATACTAAAACCAGACAAGGAAACAAGAAAATAAAATGATAGACTAATGTCCCTGATGAACATAAATGCAAAGTCGTCCACAAAATACATCAAATCCAACAGCATAATACACCATGATCGAATGAGATTTATCCCAAGAATCCAAGGATAGTTCAATATAGGCAAATCAATAAATGTGATACATCAAATCAACAAAATGAAAGACAAAAAACACATGAGCACCTCAATTGACACAAAAAAAGCATGTGATAAAATTCAACATCTGTTCGTGATGAAAACGCTCAACAAAGAAGACATAGAAGGAACATACCTCAATATAATAAAGACCATGTGTGACAAATCCACACGTAACCTCATACTGCATGAGGAAACACTGAACACTTTCCTCTACAAACTGCAACAAAACAAGGATGCTTACTTTCACCACTCCTAGTCAACATACTGTACTGGAAGTCTTAGCCAAAGGTATCAGGCAACAGAAAGAAATAAAAGGCATCCAAATTGGAAAAGAGAACATCAAATTGTCCCTCTTTGCAGATGATATAATCTTATATTTAGAAAAACCTAAAGACTCCACCAAAAAATTACTAGATTTAATAAACAAATTCAATAAAATTGCAGGATACAAAAATCAACATACAAAAATCAGTACCAATTCAATACACCAATAATGAAATGGCTGATAAAAATAAAGCAATCCCATTTACTATAGTTACAAAAACAATAAAATACCTAGGAATAAATTTAACCAAGGAGGTGAAAGACCTCTAGAAAACTACAAAACACTGATGAAAGAAATAGAAGACATAAACAAATGGAAAAACATAACATGCTCATGAATCAAAAAACTAATATTGTTAAAATGACAGTACTACCCAAAGAAATCTACAAATTCAGTGCAATCCCTATCAAAATATCAATGTCATTTTTAACAGAATTAGAGAAAAAGTCCTAAAATTTGTATGGAACCACAAAAAAAGAAGAAAAAAAAATAAAGAACCCAAACAGCCAAAGCAATCCCGAACTGGAGCTATTCAAAGCTGAAGGCATCACACTACCTGACTTCAAAATATAGTACGAGGCTATAGTAACCAAAACTGCATGGAATTGGTGTAAAAACAGATAAACTGACCACTTGAACAGACAAACATTTAGGAAATAAATCCATGTATTTACAGCAAACTGATTTTAAACAAGGGTGCCAAGAACATACACTGGGTAATGGAGAGCTTATCCAATAAATAGTGTGGGAAAAGTAGATATCCATGTGCAGAAAATGAAACTAAATGCCTATCTCTCACAATGCACAGAAATCAACTCAAAATGTATTAAAGCATTAAACATAAGACCTGAAAATACAAAATTAGAAGAAAATGTAAATACTACAGGACAAAGATTTTATGACTAAGATCTCAAAAGCACAAGCAACAAAAACAAAAATAGATAAATGGGACTATTTTAAGTTAAAAAGCTTCTGGACAGAAAAGAAACAACCAATAGAATGGAGAGACAACCTGTTAAATGGGAGAAAATATTTGTGAACTACTTATCTGACAAGAATGTCAGAATATACAAGGATATCCAGAATATACAAGGAAATCAAACAACTCAACAGCAAAAAACCCAACAGCAATAAACAGTCTCATTAAAAAGTGAGCAAAGGACATGAATAGACATTTTTCAAAAGAATACAAATGGCCAATGTGTATATGAAAAAATGCTGTATGAAAAAAACGCACATCATCACTAATCAGGGAAATGAAAATCAAAACTACAATGAGATATTATCTTACCCCAGTTGGCATGACTGCTATCAAAAAGACAAACAAAAAACACATGATGGCAAGGATACAGAGAAAAGGGAACTCTTACACATTGTTGATGGGAATGTAAATTATTACAGTCCTTATGGAAAACAGTATGGAGATTTCTCAAAAACTAAAAATAGAACTACCACAATGAGCACAAAGTAATTATTTTCATTATAAAGTTGAAAAAGTTCATCATTAAACACAGAAAAGAACCTAGTTTATAGGGCATCTTTCAAGGTTGCCATTCTCATAGCAAAAAAAGAAAAAAGTATTAATGCTGAGAAACATGCCAAATGATGTAAAGGCAAACATGCTCAGGGAAAAAGCAGAATAAACATTTGGCAAAATTATTTAATAAATGGTATTTGTTCTTGTGGCATAATATGTAAGAAATGCAATGTGAAAGAGGCATCTATTTCTATGTCTGTGCAATAGCTTTACAAATTGATATATTTGTTGAATTTGGAATATAAATCAAGCCTTGATGTATGTGAGAAAGGAGCCCTCAACCACTTGTTTTCTTGTGTATTAAAAACTTATGCCCATGCCAAAATGGAAGACTTAAAAAAATACTGAATTAATGCTATGGACTGAATAGTGTATCCTAAAAATTCATACGTTGAAGCCCTAAGCCCACGTGTGACTGTACGTGGGGATAGGATCTTTTGGAGATAATTAAGGTTAAATGAAATCGTAAGGGTAGGATCTTAATCCATTTGGACTGTGCAATAACAAGAAGAGAAAGATAGCTCCTCTCTACCCCCAACCTCTGCCTCTCCATGTGAGGACACAATGAGAAGATAGCAGGCTGCAAGCCAGGAAGAGAGTCTTCATCAGAACACAATCATGTTGCCACCCTGATTTCACACTGTGGCAACATGAAACTGTTGCCTCCAGAACTGTTAGAAAATTAATTTCTGTTATTTAAACCACCTAGTCCACGGGATTCTGTTATGGCAGCTCTAGCTGACTAAGATAATTACTATTAACTTTTAAGAGAGAGCTGGTCTAGAGAGTTTTGGTTATATGAACATGGATAGCAATGGTTTTATTGAGTGAATAAGAAAAGTAGCATCTGAAAGCCAGTCCACTAATAGTTTTAGCTACAGAAAATTGTTAATAGTAAATAATATGCCTCCTGATTTTGAGTCAGTATTGAATAAAAACGTAAAACTTGTGACTTTAAAAATTACAGCTACAAAATATACATCCTTTTGAGATGATGTCCCAAGAAAGAGCAAGTAGACACATTCTGTATTTTCACACTAAAAACACTGACCAGTGATGACTTCCAATACTTCAAAACAATTCTTTTTAAATTGAAAATATTTACAGTAAATATCTTCGTAAAATATCAGTATAGCTAATTCTATAATTTCAAGTGAATTTCCTCAATTACACTTTAACAAAATAGTCAATGTTTTCATTAGTATAAATATATCACTTCAGGATCAAATATCACATTTAAAAAAAAATGAGAAGACAAACTGCAAACTTGGAGAAAATGTTTGGGAAAGACATATTTGATAAAGACCGTCATCTAAAATATACAAAGAAGTCTTCAGACTGAACAATAAGAAAATGAAGAAACCAATTAAAAAATGGGCAAAAAAACCTAGATACACAACTCACCAAAGAAGACATAAGGATGGTTTTAGGTCTTACATTTAAGTCTTTAATCCATCTTGAGTTAATTTTTGTATAAGGTGTAAGGAAGGAGTCCAGTTTCAGTTTTCTGCATATGGCTAGCCAATTTTCCCAACACCATTTATTAAATAGGCAATCCTTTCCCCATTTCTTGTTTTTGTCAGGTTTGTCAAAGAACAGATGGTTGTAGATGCATGATGTTATTTCTGAGGCCTCTGTTCTGTTCCATTGGTCTATATCTCTGTTTTGGTACCTGGACCATGCTGTTTTGGTTACTGTAGCCTTGTAGTAAAGTTTGAAGTCAGGTAGCGTGATGCCTCCAGCTTTGTTCTTTTCAGTTAGGATTGTCTTGGGTATACAGGTTATTTTTTGGTTCCATATGAAATTTAAAGTAGTTTTTTCTAATTCTCTGAAGAAAGTCAATGATAGCTTGATGGGGATAGCAATGAATCCATAATTACTTTGGGCAGTGTGGCCATTTTCATGATATTGATTCTTTCTTTCCATGAGCATGGAATGTTTTTCCATTTGTTTGTGTCCTCTTATTTCCTTGAGCAGTGGTTTGTAGTTCTCCCTGAAGAGGTCCTTTACATCCCTTGTAAGTTGTATTTCTAGGTATTTTATTCTCTTTGTAACAATTGTGAATGGGAGTTAACTCATGATTTGGCTCTCTGTCTATTATCAGCGTATAGGAATGCTTGTGATTTGCACACATTGATTTTGTATCCTGAGACTTTGCTGAAGTTGCTTATCAGCTTAAAGAAATTTGCAGCTGAGATGATGGGGTTTTCTAAATATACAATCATGTCACCTGCAAACAGAAACAATTTGACTTCCTCTTTTCCTAATTGAACACCCTTTATTTCTTTCTCTTGCCTGATTGCCCTGGCCAGAACTTCCAATACTATGTTGAATAGGAGTGGTCTGAAGAAAACCTAGGCAATGCCATTCAGGACATAGGCATGAGCAAAGACTTCATGACTAAAACACCAAAAGCAATGGCAACAAAAGCTGAAATTGACAAATGGGACCTAATTAAACTAAAGAGCCTATGCACAGCAAAAGAAACTCATCAGAATGAACAGGAAACTTAAAGAATGGGAGAAAAATTTTGTAATCTATCCATCTGACAAAGGGCTAATATCCAGAATCTACAAAACCTAAAAAAATTTACAAGAAAAATAAACCATCAAAAAGTGGGCAAAGGATATCAACAGACACTTTTCAAAAGAAGACATTTATGCAGCCAACAAACATATGAAAAAATGATCATCATCACTGGTCATTAGAGAAATGCAAATTCAAATCACAGTGAGATACCATCTCACACCAGTTAGAATGGCGATCATTAAGAAGTCAGGAAAGAACAGATGCTGACAAGGACGTGGAGAAATAGAAACACTTTTATACTGTTGATGGGAGTGTAAATTAATTCAACAATTGTGGAAGACAGTGTGGCAATTGTTCAAGGATCTAGAACCAGAAATACCATTTGACCCAGTAATCCCATTACTGAGTATATACCCAAAGGATTACAAATCATTCTGCTATAAAGACAAATGCACACATATGTTTATTGCAGCACTATTCACAATAGCAAAGACTTGGAGCCAACCCAAATACCATCAGTGATAGACTAGATAAAGAAAATGTGACATATACACCATGGAATACTATGCAGCCATAAAAAAAGATGAGTTCACGTCCTTTGCAGGGACATGGATGAAGCTGGAAACCATCCTTCTCAGCAAACTAACACAGAAACAAAGCCAAACACCACATGTTCTCACTCATAAGTGGGAACTGAACAATGAGAACACATGGACATGGACATAGGATCAGAACATCACACACTGGGGCCTGTCAGGAGGTGGGGATCTAGGGGAGGGATAGCATTAGGAGAAGTACCTAATGTAGATGATGGGTTGATGGGTGCAGCAAACCCCCATAGCACGGTATACCTATATAACAAACCTGCAAGTTCTGCACATGTATCCTAGAACTTAAAGTATAATTTTTAAAAAGATATTCAGATGGCAAATAAGCATATAAAAAGATGCTCCCCATCATATGTCATCAGGAAAAAGCAAATTAAAATTTATTATCCTTATTATTTATGTATTGATTTGGTAAGATATTGCTTTAAAAAAAGTTATTAGACTATAAGTGCCCCCAACACTTATATATGTTGCCTCAATGTTCAAAGCTTATCTTTTTTTTAGCAAGTTGATTTGTGTCTTAACTTTAATTCTATGCTAATTAGAAAATCTAAGAAAATAACTAAAAGAAAGGACAATTTACCCAGTCCATCAGTGGTAGTCATGGCAGGAAACAGAATGCACAAACTAATTATTGCAAAGAGTTTAATGGAGAAAGTGTTCATAAACATGTGTTCAGGTTTGTAGGAATCCATTAAAGGATCGTGAAATATCCTGAGACAAGTGGCATCATTTGTTAATACTGCTAGGACTGAGAAGTCCAGGAGAGCTGAAAAGAACACAGCTAGCAAGATAACTAACTCTAGGAGCTGGACCTCTTAACAAGACTTGTTTGGTCTTTGGTAGAAGAACATAGCCTCTTCCAACCCCAGTACAAGCAAGAGAGGAGCAGAGCCAGGGGAATATACATGGAGGACCTCTTCTTTCTCCAGGATTATGATCTGCTTGTGACTGTTGATTTGCAGAACCCAACTAGAAGTCAAAGGGCAAGGAGCCTTTGTGTAGTTGTGGTACATATAGGCCAAGTCTCTGAGGTATGGATCAAAGAGGTGAGGGGTGTGATATGTGTAGACAAACATGTTGTTGGGGGCAGATACACACACACAGCTACTCTGATGAAAACTCTACAAAATCTGGAAAATAACTGAATTTAAAAATCAAGAAATTAATTAAGAAATTAAGGCTGGGCATGGTGGCTCACACCTGTAATCCCAGCACTTTGGAAGGCCGAGGTAGGCGGATCACAAGGTCAGGAGATCAAGACCATCCTAACTAACATGGTGAAACCCTGTCTCTACTAACAAATATAAAAAATTAGCCGGCTGTGATGGCAGGTGCCTGTAGTCCCATTTAATCGGGAGGCTGAGGCAGGAGAATGGTGTGAACCTGGGAGATGGAGCTTGCAGTGAGCCGAGATCACACCACTGCACTCCAGCCTGGGCCACAGAGCGAGACCCCATCCCCAAAAAAAAAAAAAATTAAAAACCTGAGGTTCGCATTATTAGATGAATTGTTCAAGGTTACACAAAAATTGACCTCTAAATACATTTAACTATTTGTCTAGCATAATTCTCAGCATTTGTTGACATCTCAAAGAGATAGAAAAATTAGGAGGAATCATGGTCTATTTAAAAACATTGTAAGCCAGAGGGTATAAGAAAGTCAAAGCAGGAGATCTATGGCCTTATTTTTACCAGAGAATATGAGAGAGAGAGAATATGAGAGAGAGAGAGAATATGAGAGAGAGAGAGAATATGAGAGAGAGAGAGAGAATATGACAGAGAGAGAGAATAAGAGAGGGAGAGAGAATAGCAGAGAGAGAGAATGAGAGAGAGAATAAGAGAGAGAGAGAATGAGAGAGAGTGAGAATAAGAGAGAGGGAGGATGAGAATGGATATGAATATATAGGGAGTTTAGCTTTTGGTAAAATGATGCATTAACTTTGGAGAACATGCTCCACAGTAGTAACCATTACTCATTTTGAGCATTTTGCTCCAAAGTCAGAACATGTGTGAATTTAGATTTTCTTGAAGCTCACATGCAAACTTCAGATTGGGTGGTGTGATGGCATGGACAGCTCTGGCCAGTTCACTTTATGCTGACTCTCAGATAAAATAGAATCTTGATTTTGGCAGCCAGAGGTTTTACTCTTTTGACCCAAGGCTCTATCCATCCACGGATCCACCCACCCTTTCACCAAGGGTGGTAATAAAAGACTCAATATTCACTTTTAAAACCAATTTCTCATTTTTGTGTGCCTGTAAACAAAAGGCATATATAATGAAAGTCACTATGATTCTTTTAAACTGTGTTTATTGTTGCTTTCTAAAGAACAGCAGTAACAATAAGAAGTATATTATGTAAAAATGATTGGAAAATTAAAATGGAAACTGATAGAACACTACCAGGCAGGCTCCACGGTTGGGTTGACATTTCACTCTCACTTTTACAAACACCTAAAGAAGATTAAAATAAGTTTCTGAAATATAGTCTGGTTAAGCAACATTTTTGTGTCATTTTAATGGTTAAAATTAGTGTAGACTCCATTGCAATGTCAACGAAGTGTTGTTAAGGAAAGGGACTAACAGTGCCGATTGGTGGCCTGGCACTGAGAAATTGAACATAAAGCAATGCAAAACTAAACAGAAGTTCCAGGAATATAAATTTGGCTTAACCCTCCGATAAGCCAACTTCTTAGCCTGGAACATGGCTTCTTATGGCAAACCATCCATTCTTAATATAAGACAATGATGTTTGAATAAAATAAACTTTTATGGATTAGCTGTCATTTAAGTGGTTGTTTATAATTTAATTCTTTCTATGAAAAACATTTTTTTCCTTTCTGTCAAAACTAAAACCATTACTTCAACCCTAAACACATAAATTTTGTTTTTTAAATGTCACTGCAAACAATGTCACAGTAACCTTATGAGTCCAAGCTGAATCAAAATTATTTTTAAAAAAATTTAAATAGAACAATGATTATATTGCTTCTTGCATTTCCAATATAAGGTAACGATGTATAGCCATCCAGATAGAACTCACTATGACTCAATGGATCTACTTTTATGACAGACACTTCTTTCTAAATGTACTATGCATATTGAGTACTATGACAGAGCAGGAAGTTGCTCAATAACAAATAGTTTTGGAGTTGAACATTCTATATGTAGAGTTTACTTTCATAGCTCTAATCTTAACCTTAACAATAGAATAATAATTCCAGAGTTAACCATTAAATAGATCTTAAAGGTATAAAAGATCCACTAACTTTACACCATAAATTATGAGGTACAGACTTCTTTAACTATATACTTGTTACTGGTCTAATAAAATCTACTTCAGAGATGGAGAAAATTCCTGGAACAGCATCCTTCTTTGCTGCTGTGTTCATTTTACTCATTGCAATAAAACAACTCTCATTTTGAAAGGCTTTGAATAGAAACCTCATATAAACTCTTCTCTATTCCATTATGTTCTCTACCTCTTACTCTAAGAAATATTTTATTTATTTTGGCAGGCAACTCCAGTCATGCAGATAGGTAAAGTGGTAGGATATTGACCATGGAGGTAGGATATTATTGGAGAAGTGATAAGGCAACAAATCCCTTTCAAAAACATCTTCCCTTCCTACAAAACATACCACTGATAATTTCACTAATATTGTACTGTACTCCTGGCCATTTTAGAATCAGAATCAGAAAATAATTTCTGAAGAAAAAATTTAATTAACTCAATTTCCTTATTCAACAAATAGGGAAATTAAGTGTTAGAGATATTCAATTATCTGGCTAAAGTCAACTAACCACACAAATAATAATAGATATAGGACTGCAGGCTGTCTTCTGATTCCTCATCAGTATTCTTTTGCTTCATTAAGCTTTCTTTAGCATAAGTCACCAAAAAATGCTTAGCTTGAGTTAGTGATTTTAGCTTCTTCTTCCAGTTTTTTGTCTACCTAATCCAAAGCATATACCCTGGTACAAGCAGGCTGTATTAATAATTTGCACATACTTTGCCTTGGCTTGTAATGAAAAAACTATGACAAACATTATCATCCATACATTTTTGATCCATAAGCTGGAGCTGCCCTGAATGACCTTTAGGCTGAGATGGGGGTCATTGTTACCTCAGCAAAAGTCAGGGACAAATTTCATGTAATCTTTCTAAGGGAATAATATTCTCTGTAGGTAAGCTTCCTGCAGAACACATGTCTGAGGATTTAGTCCTCTACCAGGTGTTTTCCATAAGCACTGGGATGTTCCTGATAACAACCCCAAGATGGAAATCATGGGGTTTTCATGAGACAGGCCTTGTTTACACACATACACACACACACACACACACACACACACACACTACAATTCCAGAGGACACACATGGAACTGTTGGAAACGGAACTTAGAATTGTTAGAGATCCCTTCATGACACACATCGCAGTGGTTGCCACACCTCACACATATACACACAATGTGGTCTCCCACTGGACCTCCCAGTTTAGTCCCAATAATTCAAGTTAAGTTCATCCCCTGTTGGCAGTCAGTTTCAAGTAGCCCTGCTTGCTGATGCCAATTCATCTATTCCACAAGGTGTAGGCATCAGGAAATGTCCTTCGAGGAAAGAGCAGGAGCTGGAGCCATCCCCTGGCCTCTCACTGTAGAAGACTTCAGAAAAGGGATGGTTTGAATTTAAGGTGTTTGCAGCAGCTTGGAAAGTAGCGTGGGATAAATGGCCCACAACAGCAACCTAAAGAGCTGTGCAGGTGGTTTCCTCCTGGGAGGAAGGCTCCAGAAGCCATTTCTGAAAGACAAGTATCATTAAATCCCCTGCCTCTACTGCCCCAGGAGCCTAATGTGTTTCCTCCTCAGGTGCCCTGGATTTTGCCATTCTTTGTTACAAAGTCTTCAGGCTCAATTTCATTAACCATAACTACATTTTTTTCTGTCATTCCCTACTGAACTTTTCATCAAAAAGTCGATGCAAAAGAAAAAACAAAAGGAGTTTCACAGAAACTTTTTCATGCAATCTAAACATATTTAAGTCCAAATCTCCAAAGCCCCCTTTTCAGCCAGGTCGATATGGGGTTACCTTTAGGAGAAAGATAGTCACATCGTTCTGCCAAGGGGAATGCTCTGAGGGAAATTCTGAAATTTATAGTGTTTCTAATTAATCTAAACCATTCTTCATCTTTTTTGTTCAAATCATAACCTAATTTAAAAAAAAAAGCCTGGTGAGATCAGCCCTATTATATGCCGTTGCTTTTTATAATTTATCTCTAATCTTATAAACAATCCTGCACTATTACACCAGCTGTATAATGATGAAATTGAAGTTCAGGAAGGTTTAGCGACTTTTCCAACGACGTATAGGTAGCAGGTGGTACCAGTATGAACTTAGTTTTGACTGTACCCAAACGTGGTATACATTACACTTCAAAAATCTTTAAGCTGCTCCATAGAGTGGATTAGGTTCAGAAGAAAAGAGTGTGTGAAGAAGTAGGGGCTGATTACAAAAAGGTGAAAAGAGCACATTCTAAACTTTCCACCCCTGTTTGAACTAGATCACCTCCTCCTTGATGATAGATATATAATAGATAGGTGGATAGATGGATTCTGAAGAACATTTTGTTTGAATAGATGTTTAAGAACTAGACAGATTAAGTAAGCTAAGTAACTACAAGGTAACTAAGTAGACTTTTAAGAACTTTTTGTTTTGGTAGATTTTTTAAAGAAAAAAAAAACACTAAGCTTCACTGCAGTATCTGCTTAAAAACAAAAAGGTGAAGATGCTCCCATGTCAAACTTCATGTACCTCAATAGGCCAAAAACATTCACCCACTATATACTTGAAATTTTCATTAGTGTTCCTAAAGATTGATTAGAAGACAGAATTTTGAAGAAAGAATCATCTATAAGTATGTGCATGGACCATTTAACCCAAAGTCTCTTTATGTATCAGTTGAGGAATTTCTCGAGAAAAGCAGCATTTATATTTACTATAGTTATGATTACACATCTATAGAGGCAACATGTGTAACAATGAAAATCCAGTATTGCCATATGTATTGACAACCTCCTTCAGGATAAGCCCTTTATTAGGCCTTGTAATAGATAGAAAAAAAATAGAAGTCATTGTCGTATGACTAAATCTGGCCCTATTAAAACATGGGTTGAGTTGCAACCTATGATAAGAGAACTACTTCATAAACATATAAACTCAGGTTTGAGGGTCATAGTAGTAAGAAGTAATGATGGTATAGGTAGTGACATTAGTATTATTAGCAATTACAGTAACAGTCAACATTGTCAATGGTTTACCTGTGTTAAGCAATGTAATAAAAAGTTTTTATGCATAAAGCTGACTCATTTAATTTCCACTTTAATTCTCAATTCTCAACTTCAGTTTTAGAAATACAGTATTAAATATAAAGAAACTAAAACTGAAAAGGTTAAACAGATTGCTAGTAAGTTAAGCAACAACTTCTTACTAACAGACAAGCATTCAGGTGCAGACCTCTCTGACTCTAGAGTCTGTGCATTTATACTACAGTTGCTCAGAGAAGACATCTGAGAAAGCCTATTAGGAAGAAACAGGATAAGATATCTAGGATAAGGTGAGTCCTTCCTCAAGTCAGAAAGAACTACAGGAAGAAACTTGTTTAAAACAGGCCCAAGGGATTTATTTTGGACCTCCATTTCTGTCCAAAAGATTGAGTAAAAGGAACTGGATTTATCTTTCTGCTTAACACAGCCAAAAAAAATGAATATATGAAATAGCTTCAAGGCACTGGACACCTAGACAATTAATGACCATGATTCTTGAGAGGTGGAAACAGATCAGGTGAGTCTATGATTGCCGCAGCTTACTGCCATAAAAGACATAACACAAGGTGGGGAGTCCAGGCAGATGCCAACATAGCCAAGACCAGGGAGAAGAAAAAAAGCCAGACTCAAAAATTCATAATAAAGTTCAAGGGCCTATAAGCAACAAAGCAATGCTGAAAAGGAACAAACATGAAAGACTAACTCTACAGGATTTCAACACTTAAAGTTATAGTAATCCAGACAGTGTGCCACTGGAATATAGGTAGACATGTATACCAATGGAACAGAATAGAGATTTCACAAACAACTCAACACATATAAATGACTGATTCTTAACAAAGCTTACATGCAATCAACTGAAGAAAGGGTAGTTTAAAGAAATAATGCTTGGACAATATTCATATGTAGAAAAATATTCTTTAATACATCATATTAAAAATAAACTAAAAATGAATTACATAATTAAGTGTAAAACCCAAAATAAACTGCTAAAGGAAAACATGAGAAAATATTATTAACTTGCATTAGGGAAATATTTCTTAAATATGATGTATAAAACACAAACCCTAAAAGAAAAAGTGAACAAATTGGCTTTATCAAAATTAAAAGCTTCTACTTTTTTTTTTTTTTTTGGCTAGTCAAGTAAAGCACTGGAGGTGGAGAAGGAACAAGGAAATCTGTAACTGGTAGTTTTCAATTAATTCTAAACACCACTGCATGCAGGCAATCAAAAGTTTCTACTTTTTAAAGACACTTATAGGAGAAAATATTTGAAAGCATATATCTGATAAAGAATTGTATCCAGAATACACAAATAATTCATACTCAATAATAAACAGAATAGGAGATATGCAAATATTTGAAAAGACACTTCATCAAAGAATAGTGAATGGTACATAAACACATAAAATGATGCTCAACATATTTACTTATTAGATAAATGCATAATAAAACCATAATGGTATACCAATATATGCTTTAGGATGGCTAAAATGTAAAAGGCTTTCTATACCAAGTAGTGGTAAGAATGTGAAGGAACTAAAATTTCCATGCACTGCTAGTTTCAATGTAAAATAGTACAAAAACTTTGGAAAACCATTATTTAAAATGTTAAATTTAATGAAAAATTTCTGAAATGATAAATATACACTGACCATATAATCCAGGCATTCTACTCCTAGATATTTACCTCCTCTCCTCCCAAAATGAGAATGTATATCCACACAGACTTGCACACAGATGTTTACAGTAGCTTTATTAAAATGTCCAGAAGTCAAAATGTCCATCCAGAAGTGAATATATAAACAATCATGGTACATTGATACAATGCATCAGTACTAAATAATACAAAGGAATGAACTATTGGTACACAACAAAACGGATGAATCTCAAAATAATTTCACTGAGTTAAAGAAGCCAAACAGAAAGGAGGACATACTGTATGATTCCATTTATATAAAATTCAAGAAAATGCAAACCGATCCACAGTGACAGAAAGCAGAATAACGGTATTCTGGAGATTGTAGAGTGAGAAGGGATTAAAAAGGGGGCACCAGGAAAAATTTGGAAGGAGATAGATATATTCATCATCGTGATTGTGGTGATAATTTAATGGGTTATATGACATGTCAAAACTTATCAAATTTTACACTTAATATATGTGAAGCTAGTTATATATCAGTTAAATCCCATAAAACTATTTTTTAAAAAATAAGAGACATTATAAGGTGTAAGGAAGGGATCCAGTTTCAGCTTTCTACATATGGCTAGCCAGTTTTCCCAGCACCATTTATTAAATAGGGAATCCTTTCCCCATTGCTTGTTTTTCTCAGGTTTGTCAAAGATCAGATAGTTGTAGATATGCGGCGTTATTTCTGAGGGCTCTGTTCTGTTCCATTGGTCTATATCTCTGTTTTGGTACCAGTACCATGCTGTTTTGGTTACTGTAGCCTTGTAGTACAGTTTGAAGTCAGGTAGCATGATGCCTCCAGCTTTGTTCTTTTGGCTTAGGATTCACTTGGCGATGAGGGCTCTTTTTTGGTTCCATATGAACTTTAAAGTAGTTGTTTCCAATTCTGTGAAGAAAGTCATTGGTAGCTTGATGGGGATGGCATTAAATCTATAAATTATCTTGGGCAGTATGGCCATTTTCATGATATTGATTCTTCCTACCCATGAGCATGGAATGTTCTTCCATTTGTTTGTATCCTCTTTTATTTCCTTGAGCAGTGGTTTGTAGTTCTCCTTGAAGAGGTCCTTCACGTCCCTTGTAAGTTGGATTCCTAAGTATTTTATTCGCTTTGAAGCAATTGTGAATGGGAGTTCACTCATGATTTGGCTCTCTGTCTGTTATTGGTGTATAAGAATGCTTGTGATTTTTGTACATTGATTTTGTATCCTGAGACTTTGCTGAAGTTGCTTATCAGCTTAAGGAGATTTTGGGCTGAGACAATGGGGTTTTCTAGATATACAATCATGTCATCTGCAAACAGGGACAATTTGACTTCCTCTTTTTCTAATTGAATACCCTTTATTTCCTTCTCCTGCCTAATTGCCCTGGCCAGAACTTCCAACACTATGTTGAATAGGAAAACACCAAAAGCAATGGCAACAAAAGCCAAAATTGGCAAATGGGATCTAATTAAACTAAAGGGATTCTGCACAGCAAAAGAAACTACCATCAGAGTGAACAGGCAACCTACAAAATGGGAGAAAATTTTCGCAACCCACTCATCTGACAAAGGGCTAATATCCAGAATCTACAATGAACTCAAACAAATTTACAAGAAAAAAACAAACAACCCCATCAAAAAGTGGGTGAAGGACATGAACAGACACTTCTCAAAAGACGACATTTATGCAGCCAAAAAACACATGAAAAAATGCTCACCATCACTGGCCATCAGAGAAATGCAAATCAAACCACAATGAGATACCATCTCACACCAGTTAGAATGGCAATCATTAAAAAGTCAGGAAACAACAGGTGCTGGAGAGGATGTGGAGAAATAGGAACACTTTTACACTGTTGGTGGGACTGTAAACTAGTTCAACCACCATGGAAGTCAGTGTGGCAATTCCTCAGGGATCTAGAACTAGAAATACCATTTAACTCAGCCATCCCATTACTGGGTATATACCCAAAGGACTGTAAATCATGCTGCTATAAAGACACATGCACACGTATGTTTATTGTGGCACTATTCATAATAGCAAAGACTTGGAACCAACCCAAATGTCCAACAATGATAGACTGGATTAAGAAAATGTGGCACATATATACCATGGAATACTATGCAGCCATAAAAAATGATAAGTTCTTGTCCTTTGTAGGGACATGGATGAAATTGGAAACCATCATTCTCAGTAAACTATCGCAAGAACAAAAAACCAAACACTGCATATTCTCACTCATAGGTGGGAATTGAACAGTGAGAACACATGGACACAGGAAGGGGAACATCACACTCTGGGGACTGTTGTGGGGTGGGGGGAGGGGGGAGGGATAGCTTTAGGAGATATACCTAATGCTAAATGATGAGTTAATGGGTGCAGCACACCAGCATGGCACATGTATACATAGGTAACTAACCTGCACGTTGTGCACATGTACCCTAAAACTTAAAGTATAATAATAATAAAATAAAATAAAATAAAAATGAAAATAAAATAAGAGACATTAACCTCAAATATATCCTGGTGAAATCAACTTAAACTGCAATTTGACCATGAATAACAGAAAAGGCTCAGTAGCTATTTTGTAATTGCTATTTCAATATAGTTTCACTGATTTTCATATTTTGATTTTAGAAAATGTCTCCATTAGACTCCTTTCTTTATGTAAACAACTTTTTTGAAATAACTTCTCTTGTTTATATCTAAAAAGGTCAAGTTAAATTGAATGGAAATCAAAGTTTTCCATATCTATCTTCAAACTCAGAATGGAACAGGTTATAGTTGATCCTGGACACTCTGTCACAAAGAAATCACTTAAATCATCTTCTGAAGCCCATCGAGATGTGAATTAACCAGCTATTCCCAAGAGAGCTGATTACTGGCTTGTCAACTTCAAACACTTAATCAGCAATTTCTTGGGCTGACCCCTCTTAGACACCTAGAATCTAAGAAAATAAATATAAAAATAACAAAAGTTTTTTAAATGTGTCATATCTTAGCATCAATTAAGGAAAATATCAGCATATTTAATGCTGGACCTTTTGAAAGGTGTTGAATAGATTTAGTATCAAAATAAATTATTAATTTTGGAATAAAGAAATTCATGGCTATAATACCATTGAGAATTATACTGTGCTGTTTCCGTGCTGATCTTGTGTTTCCTGCCCTATTCCTCCATCTGGTCCTTTTTACACTATTCTATACAATTCTATCTACTATGTAATTATCTGCTGTGATCACAATCATAGTACAAAACGATATGAACTCCACTTATCCTGCGAGGCACAGAGGATCACACCCTGCTAAAGAAGAAACTTTGGAAAAGATAGGCCACATTGTTAAATAAAGGACATAGAAAAGGAGGACTTGGGTAATTTTGCAAATATTGAGATAAAATGTAATATTTATGATGCTATATAAAGCATTAATATTTGCAAGCTAATAGGAGATACATATAATAATCTGTTCATGCAATACTTGGCACATATTGCCTTTTGATTTGCTAGATAAATTCCTTTGCCTATATAAAAAGCAGATTGATAGAAAAATCAATGCTTACAATTCAGAATGTTTGTCCATAGGATTTTTATCTCATGGTTTATCTAGTATTATAACTCACTGTTTGTTCTGTGCATGGAGACTTAGTACATGTTGTGTGTCCTTCAACAGTCACACCTGTTTCTTACAGTTTTGAAAGATATCTCAATTTGAGGTGCATTTCCCTCAGGGTGAATCCACTACATTGCCTAAAATTTAAGTCAGACCATTTGAAACATACCATCTACATATAATGAACAAAAATCTATTTTCATGTATTTTAGCAGAAAAACAATAAGACAAAAAATTATTTGTAAACATATTAGGCTAATATCAAAATCTAAGGAGAATAAGAATAATGTACCAACTGGTCTACCTCCTGCACATTATGGCGGGTAGGCAAGAAGAATAAAGCACCTTATAAACACAATAGACATCCCAGGAGATCCTAAGGGTATGGTTAGGTATCCTATAAAGGAGAGCATTCTTAGAGAAAAAAAAAGTATTCCAAGCTGCAACCTGTGATCTACTTCCTGACTGAGCTTTCCTTACTCAGTTAGTCTATGTATGTAGAAGAGATTCAGTAGCTGTTTGTAGTCATTTGCTAGGGCTGCCTTAAGAAAATGCTACAGACTGGGTGGCTTAAACAAAAGATTAACGTTTTCACCATTCTGGAGAGTACGAATCTGAGACCAAGGTGTCAACTGGGTTGATTTATTCCAAGGCCTTACCCTTCAACCTGTGGGCAACCACCTTTCATCTGTGTGTTCATATGATCTTCTGTGGGTCTGTTTAATCTCCTTTTTTAATTTTTTTTTGAGACAGTGTCTTACTCACCCAGGCTGGAGTGCAGGAGTGCAGTGGCATGATCACAGCTCACTGCAGCCTTGACCACCTGAGCTCAAGTGATCCTCCCACCTCAGGCTCCCTAGTAGCTACGATAACAGGCATGTGCCACAATGCACAGCTAATTTTCTGTGTGTGTGTGTGTGTGTGTGTGTGTGTGTGTGTGTGTGTGTGTGTGTATTTTTTGTAGAGACAGGGTTGGTCTCAAACTTCTGGACTTAAGCGATCCACCTTCCTCAGCCTTCTAAAGAGCTCAGAATACAGGCGTGAGCCACCACAGCCAACCTCCTTTTAAGGACAACAGTCACATTGGATCACAGTGCACCCTAATTTTACCTTAATTATCTCTTTAAAGGCCCCATCTCCAAATACAGTCACATTCTTAGTACTGAGAGTTAGGGCTTCAACATATGAATTTGAGAGATAATATGGTTTGGCTGTTTCCCCACCCAAATCTCATCTTGAACTGTAGTTCCATAAGAGGCTTTTTCCCACTTTTCACTCTGCACTTCTCCTTCCTGCCATTATGTGAAGGAGGACGTATTTGTTTCCCCTTCCACCATGACTAAGTTTCCTGAGGTCTCCATAGCACTGCAGAACTGTGAGTCAATTAAACTTCTTTCCTTTGTAAGTTACCCAATCTCAGGCAGTCCTTTATAGCAGCATGAGAATGGATTAAGGGGAGACACTATTCGGCCCACAACATCATTCAATGTGATACCCCATCCTGATATTACACAGAAGCCATCCTGTCTATCACACACACAAACACACATGCACACACACACACACACACACACACATGAGTCTTTTAGGCTATTCAGCTATGTTTCACTCCAAGTTTTATAAATAGTACACATAGTATATACTACTATTAACAAGTAGTACATAGTAAATATTGAATGAAGAACACAACAAATTTGGTGAATGATTTTATTTCTTTCAGTAAGTATTTAATATTTTTGTTAATGTTTGTGAATTTCTCCCTCATTTGGTGAATGATTTTATTTCTTTCAGTAAGTATTTAATATTTTTGTTAATGTTTGTGAATTTCTCCATCATTGGATTGTTAACAAACTTGGAGAATTTGTGAAGTTGTAGAGAAAGCAAGATGAAACAGAGAATAATTATTATAATCATCATCTCAGCCATATTGAATTTACCCCCAAAACTAAATTACATTAAATATATAAGCCAAAACAAAACTGTTAATCTCCTCTTTCTCCAAAATTTGGCCTTACTTCTATCTTCCCCTTAGAAAACAGATCCACCACTTTTATTAAACCAAAAACCTGAGCTGTCCCTGAATCCTTTCATTCACAAAACACCCACATTCATTTTGTTAGCAAGTTTCACCAGCTCCACTTCCAAAATATATCCCAAATCAATTCACTTTACATCCACTTTACTGTCTCTTATTTCTACCACTCTTGTCCAGGCCACCATCTTTTATCACATGGATTATTCTAATAGCTCTCCCCACCTCTAAATGCCTTCTTTACTCAGGAGCTGAGGTAATCTGGCTAAATGTTAATCAGATAACATAACTCTCCTATTTAAAGCTTCCTAGTGTCTTAGAATTAAATCCATACACACTTAAAAAGAATATCATGACCTGGCCTCTGCCTACCTTGTAGGACTTACCTTCCACCACATGCTCCAATCATATTTTTCTTTCTATTACCTACTATGTAGGGTTTGCCTTAGAGTCTTAGTTTCTGACAGATAGAACAGGTCTACTAACTGTTCTCTTTGATTAGAAACTTCTTCTGTTTAATATGGGTATCACTGAAATGTCACCTCCTCCAAGAAGTCTTTCTTATTCTCGTCTCAAGTGGCCTCCAAATCACTCTCTATTACCCTATTTTAATTTTGTGTATAGTGCTTACAGTTGTCTAGTATTTTTCTTATTTATTTTTATTTTTTCTCTCTATGCCTTACATGAGAATTTTGACCTTGACTGTCTTGATTGATGCTTTAGCTCCAGAACATAAAAAAATGCATGATAGAGTGGTACTCAATAAATATTTATAAAATAAATGAGTTACCATCTGCTCTTTAGAATGACAACATGGGATTCTTGACCTTACATGATGGTCATCAAAATTCACCCTATAACTTTGTTTCTATAGCTGCTCTTAAGATTCCTGAGATCACTGAAAGAAATGAACAGGACCAATTGTGCTTATCTATTTCTTTTTACTCTTCAGTCAATGCTTTGCAACAAAGACAATGACTATGATATCTGACCCTCAGGAGCTCTGATGAGAATCTACTCTTGCCCAATTCACTAACCTAGTCACTAATGACTTTTGGCAGCACAGGCAAGAGCTCTAAAAGAAAGCAAAAATCAGGAAATTACTCCCAGCACATTTTGAATATTTATGAACTCCTGCTCATGGAAGTAACTATTAGTGGCTCAATGTCATGAAAAATAACTTTCTATACAAAACATAGGTAAAAATCAATTCCAAAATGGCATAAAATGCTTTTGCTATCTTGACTTCTTACAATCATATCTACTAGAAGTTTTTGACTACAGTATAATATTATATTAATAAGTTTGAGTTAGTGAGAGAGAGAAACTCATTGCTTTCTAATTCTATCAAATTCTGCACAGTTGCTTAGATTTACTCCTTTAGAGAATTGTAAGGAATCAACAGATTTTTTTTACTTTCCCTGGGGATAAAGTATGACAAACTTCATCAGACTAAGAGAAAATAGTGACCATACCCTCTCCAGTAATCACCAACTTCTTTTTGGGATATGGCAGAACATAAGGAACACTTTGAGAAGCAGGGAAAAATTAACTTTTAATGTATTTGGGCAACAACATTTAAGGTCATCTGAATTAGCCGGACATATTGTTCAAGGAACAGCTGGTGGTTTTTAATTAGTGCTTAGTTTAGAAGTACAAAGTTGAATGTGCCTTAGTTTTGTTGGTCCTTTTCGAACTGATAAATCATTTCCTGTCTGCAGTGAGTTGGTTTAGTTTTGTCTTACTATAGATATAACCGTGCATTTTTCTCCCAACTGAGCTATGGATCAATAAAAGTTTATAAAAATCTTTGTTTTTAGGCTTAAAATATGATCTTAAAGACTACACTGTAGACCACTCAGCTTTTATTGACTATCCTGCTGACATTTTTAGTAATGAATCCTCATCCATTTTTGGCTTTGCCTTTCTATTCCTTAGTCACAGTCCACGTCTCCCTTAAAGTGTTATTTCTTTTTCTAATTCCCCATTCCCCTCACCGACAGTCACGGTCACAGATCTTTTACCAGAAAACGTATGAGCTGAGAAACATTCTGTATTTATCACACAGATGCCAAAAGAATAGATATTCCTTGATAAGAAAAAACATTAAAGTGTCATTTTCTAAGAAGTTCTTGGATTATAAAGCCTAATATATATGTAAGAAAAATAATTTGTCATTATAGTTATTCATTAAAGCTTCCTTAGTCAAACAAGCATCATGAAATTTATAGATGATACTGAGTTATTTTGTTCAGTTATCCAGTTAGAAATTTGCTCCCCAAAGATGACTCTTCAGATTGCAAATACTAATTGGCTTTCAGTGGGTAACAGTGAGTATGCATAGTTACACATTTAAGTAAAGAAGCCAGGCAACTGGACTCCCCACTGCTTAACAATGGTCTTGTGTCTAATTCAAAAGTACTGCTTGACAGGAAAATCCTTATTGTCATGATTGCTCATGGTTGACCATGTTTTTCTAACAATGTTAGCTATTCACCTGAGGGCATCTTATTTCACACAAAGAGCAATGACTCACAGGAACTGGGAAGAAAAAGAAAACTGACCAATTTCCTGAATACCTCTCCTACTGCTATATAATTAGCATTTGGCTATATGTATCATTTTAGTTTTAGATGACATTTTAGGGAACACTATTAAATAATAACAGGTAGCTAAAAGGAGGTGGCCCGTAATCATGCTAAGAATAGAAGAGAAGTGTAATGCAAAGTCAAAAAGTTGAACAATTTGATTTGAAACCTGGCCCTGACATGTATTAACTATATTTCATTTTGAAAACTGCATAATCTGAGTTTTAATCTCCTGATTAGTAGATAGTAAGTATGCTTACTTTACTGAGTTCTTAAAATGATAAATGAAATAAATAAGGAATATATGGCATTTTGCAGAGTTTGTTTCACATTATATAAATAAGAATTTTCTATCATTATCATGTATGTTGAGTAACTTGATTAACAGTTCACCAAACCATTTCATCCTATGAGAAAGGAAACAGACATAGAGGATTAAATAATTTGTCCAGATTACAACTAGTTAGTAACAGCCAAAAATAAAAGCCATGTTTCTAAATTTCAGAGCTGTATTCTTTCCATAGCTATGACTCCTTCCTCTGACATTTCTGACATTGCTCCATGGAGTTAATCAGACAATTTAACTTTAGAGTTAGAATCGTCAATTAACTCACTGACAACCTCATGCAGCTGGTGAAGTGGGGGGTCATTCTGAAGAAGAAAGCGTTTATGTATTGAAATAAGGAGACATGGATAATCTGTTTTCATGATCAGAAGAACAGACTCGTTCCAGAAAATCAAAATGCTTTTAAATCAAGATGTTTTTAATGGATCCTATTTTTATGTTGTTGCCGTTTCTAAGGGAGGGTCTGGAAATCAGAAATGGTTGCTGTTGGCAGCTATGAGGATTGGGTGTGTAGCTGCTACTGACATTATAGGAGACAGAATAAGTTTTGTTAGGAAGAATAAATCCAGCTAGCTAGCACTGTAGCTAGCAATAATTATGTACATGTAGTGATAGTACACACATAACTGAAATGGATGTTTAATGATGTGCTAGCAAGTCAACTAAACCTTTTAATGGATCTTGTTATGGGTGAGTTGATATAAATGGGGATATCTTGAAGTAAAAGCAAGTAGAAGCAGCTCATAGAAAGGGATATTAATTATTTTCTTGTAGAGGGACATCTTTTTAGTCTTTTTCTCTTACCTCCTCTCCCCCCTCCCCACCGCCCACATACACATAAAAAAGTATTTCTAAAGGAAAGAAATAATATTTAGATTAGTATAAAAATAGCCCAGATATCACAGGTGAAGAGGAAAAATAACTAAGTAAATGACACAGAAAGTAACCATCAGAAAGCCAACGCAGGCAGCACAAAGAAAAACAATGAGTTTAGTGGCACAGAAAGAAAGAAATCCGAGTAGAGAGAAAGAAAGAAAGCCAAAGAGGCACAATAGTATAGTGAAGAATAGAAAGTAAGGACACTGGAGGAAAAAAAACAGATGACAATTAATGCTAGAGAGAGGAGACTGAGTTGAAAGCAGCAGCAGAACACCCAGATGGAAGCCAATCCGTGAGCTCATTTTAGAGCATCTTTCTCCTTCGGTCATAGTAACTCTCCTCCTTTATGCACCTTCTCTGCAAATACCTGAAATATGAGGTAGCTATGACCTGCCAGGTCCTCTTGTTAAGAGGTTCTCAAAATAGATATCTCATTTATGAAAAAAGCAGATTTCATATAGATGCTGAAGTTCCTAATATCAGCAGAATCCCATTATTTTTGGACATAGTTAAAAACAGAGAGGGAGCCCACCTGTTTCTGTAACGGTCAGTGAAGCTATTCAGATCACTCATGCCACGTCACAGAAATATATAGCTAGACAAACATTTTTAATTAAAAAAAATTAAATCTTTCATAAAAGCATTATGGAAAGGCAGTAAGGAAGAGCCAAGCCAAAAGTGAAGAGAAAACAAGGACCCAGACTGAGAGGCAAACACTGAAGCCACTTTTGCCCTGAGAGCATTTGCTGATAATATAAAATTAGACTCCTAGTTTTGTCCATTTTGTGAGGTGAGAGCAATGTAACTTAGAATTCAGAACCAGCATAAAATATATTTTAGCAGATTTAGATTTGAGCATCTCTACTCCAAGCTGGGATTCCCTAAAGGTTGTGCCATCAAGGTTAAGGAGAACAGAAATTGAGGCAGTTATTACATGGGGAATTTGATCCCAGGCTTAACTTTCTTGGATCAGGGAATTTCAAAACCTAAACTTGGTTTAAGAAGTTACTGACTAGTAATGTGCTTTGGTGCTTGACAGAACCAAATGATATCTCCTTTAGAGGAAGCTGTCTACATAATCACAAATCAATCTTGCAATTTTTCACATGCAATATTGAATATATATTCAACGATAATAGGGAACACAAGAAACTGGATTCTGTAAGTTCAAACGAGAACAAAAATGAAAGAATTCGAACCAAAGAGACTTGAAAAACTAGAATTATCAAATGCAGATGATAAAGCAACAATGTATACAAAGAAATAAATGTATTTGTTTGGCAGTCTTGAAATTTTAATTAATACATAACTATCATGAGAGCTCTTTTAACAAATTTAAGATGCAAGGAAAAAATAAAAAAGGAAATTAATTATTCCTAACATATATAAAGTAGCATGTATGAATATGTATATATTACAATGATTTAAAATGCAGTCCTGTTCCTGGAAAAATATTAACATAATATCTTTAGACAAATTACTTAGGAAAACAGCTTTAAATCAACAGGTTTTACTTATGGTATGGGAGGGTTGTTGGCGAGATATCTATACAACTGAGTATATATAGCAGTGAGAATGAAACAATGATCTAAATTTCTGTTAATAAAGATTGATAATTGGTCAGATATTTATTGCTTAAAGCCAAAATTCTAGCTATCTTTTTCTAAGGGTACCTTATTGAATTTTCTAAGGCTCACTTTTAAAAAGGGCATAAGTGGGAACTATGGATAGATATAGGGATAATTTTGGAATAAATATAATACAATCTTGAGCATGTAGAGACCCTCTAATTAGACAAGGGATCTGTCTACATGTAATGATAATTCTGTCTAGAGTCATGCTTCTTAAACTCTGAGACAGGATCCCACTCTGTCACCCAGGATGGAGTACAGTGGCATGATCATGGCTCACTGCAGCCTTAGCCTCCCAAGTTCAATTGATCCTCCTGTCTTAGCCTCCTGAGTAACTGGGACCATGGGTGTGCACCACCATGCTTGGCCAAATTTTTTATTATTTGTAGAGATAGAGGTCTCACCATGTTTCCCAAGCTGGTCTTGAATTCTTGGGCTTACACAATCCTCCCACGTTGGCCTCTCAAAGCGCTGAGATTACAGGTGTGAACCACTGCACTCAGTCTTTCTTATACTTTAATGTGTACATGAATCACCTGTGTATCTTGTTAAACTACAGATTTTAATTCATTAGGTCTGGAGTAAGCCTGAGAGTCTACATTTTCTAATGAGCTTCAGGTGACGCTGATGCTGGTGGTTTTGACTAACAAGCAATGGTTCTTCAACTTTAGTCTTCATTAGAATCGCCTAGAGGCTTCTTGAACTAGAGTTCTGGTCTCCACCCACAGAATTTTTGACTCAGTGGCTCTAAGTTGGAGCCTGAGTTTTCTTCATTTCTCAAAAAAAAAAAAAAATCCCTGGTAGCGCTAATACTGCTGGTCCAGGTGCTGGATTTTGAGATCCACCAATTTGTTGTATAGGATTTGAAACAGGCAATAGAAAATGCCAAAAACACACAACAAAGTAGCTTTGTTCATCATCCAAGGCTCAAGCCAATCAAGCTTCACTGGCGAAAGCACCACAAGGAGCCTGGGCTAATAAGCTCTGCCAGATATCTTGACTCCTAATTAGCTCTAGTGATTGCAAACATTCCATTGATATGCTGGGACACACTAGCTTCCTGAGCCTAGTCAGAAAAATGGTTTGAAGTTCAGGAATTAAACATAACTCTATTGGTATTATTTCATATGTACAAAAAACTTATAATCAACTAGTAGCCATTTTTACAGAAAAGGAGGGCCAGAGAGGTTGCTTGAGATCACACAGCCAGTGGCACAATTAAAATCAGCAAGGTCTCTATTACTATTGTGTAAAATGAAATACTATTCCACAGTACACGGTGATTCCATCCAAACCTTTTCTCCTTGAAGCAGATGTTCCTTGAAATGTAAGGTAACACTATGAGCTTGGGGAAGAGAAGTCACTCAATTCTTTTCTGAAAGTAATTAGGCAGAAGATTGGGAATTATTTACTGCCAAGGTATTTAAAACACCTCTATTAACAGAAAAAAAGGAGGGACAGGAAACTGGCTTTTATTGAGCAGCTATAATTTTCAGACCCTGTGCTACATACTCTCTCCAACAAATTTATGTTTGATCCTCATAACACAGTTTAAGGATGAAGACCTTGGACCTCAAAATTAAAGTCACTATTCCAAAGTCAAACACCTAAGAAAAAGAAGAGTTATTTATTCCATTTCTAAGGAATAGAACCCAATGTGCCATGCTCTTAGCAAGCAGAACATTGGAGGAGGTAATGAAATGGCCCCTCGGTAGAGAAGTAGTCCAGTGATTTAGAAGAAAGACTAAAGATTGACTGAGTCCATTACATCTACAGGACATACGTAAAATCAGCCCCACCCTTATATTGAACCTAGACACATATATTCAATCACTAAATTGTTTTATAAGGATGTACCCTAGAAATGCTGCACCAGAAATGGACAAAGTTGAAATTACCTTTCCTCGAAAACTAATTTATTCACTTGTAGGCCTTATTTTAGAAAATGGCAAAATCATTTTAAGCAATGCTGAAACCTGGGAGTCATCTTGACTCTTCCTTTTCCAAAACCACTACATCCACATCTGTCACTAATATCTTTCAACTCTACCTTCCCATGATATCTTAAAACATCTATTCCTCTCCATCTTTCTTCCCTTACCAGAATTTAAAAGTAATTAACTACCTTTTATCTTGACTATGAGAATATTTTGCTAACTGGCATTCTGTGGTATCAAAATATTTTCCTAAAAGTCACATGATCTGACCACCCCCTGGCCCCTCCACCCAGGATCCTCCCAAAAAACACCTTATGTAGTATATTCACCCTACCATGGTCCTGTTCCTGATGTTTTTCTCAGCCTTGATTCTCTACTCTCCACCAAGGTCACTGAATCATATTAGTTTCCTGAACACAAAATGCTATTTCACACTTTTTTGTCATGGCAAACCTGCCTGAAGGAGCACAAAATGTAGTTTATAGGTCCTAGATAAACAGCCTGTTATCCTCTGGAATAAAAAAAAAAAAAAATTAATCAGATGCAATGTCAGACTCACTTGAAAGATTTCCTAAGAAAACTTTTAGTCTCCCGAATGCCACAAACTACAGTCACGAATCCAAGCAGAGGTTCTCTGAGTGTTCCTTTTAATTTTTCTTTTACCTAATCAGAATACCTAATCAGAAAGGTTATCTGCAGTGTGCCATCGGTGCTGGAAGGGGTAGTAGGGTTTCAATAGCTCAGAAGATCCTCCAAACCTGTCAGGGTAGAAAATAAACACAAACCAAGTGCCTACTTTGGGCCAGGATCTCTTAATGCCTAAAATCTAAAGGAGGACTTACCAAAGTTTTATGTGCATAAGAATCACCTTCAGTCTTCTAGGATGGGGCTGAAGTTCTGAATTTTATTGCACTTAGAAGTGATGTTATTGGTGTCCGTCCACAGAGCACAATTTCAGTAGCAAGACTCTAGTCTATTACAACACATCCTGCTGACATGGCACTGGGTTTGAAATCCTCACAATTATTATTTCTTTGTAATACCCTGAGCAAAAGCTGGCCTGCAGCTGATGGCATACTATGCATGTTTAGACATATATTACCTATTCGGGCACCCCATAGGGACTACAGCAGCCATGAATGGGATGCATACACTTGGATTAAAGGAAACAAGGTGATAGGATGGCAAATTTTGCCTATAGAGAAAGTAAGGAGGCTAGAGATGCCTCAATGGTGGCAGTCTGAGGAATGCAAGGAAAAAAGGATGAGAAACACCAGTGACAAACATCTTCATGGTCATCATAACTATCATTTTGTGAATATCTGTTATGCGCCCAGGTGTGCACTTTTAAGATAGGCTTTGACTAAAACATATATGAATCATTTTCCTTTTCTGCTTCTATTTTGGCACAGAAAACATTTAGGATGTTGTAATATATGTAACGAACAAAAATTTTTCTTTGTCTTTTGAAGTTGAGCCATAGGCATAAAATATTGTTTTGTTTCAGAAATGACCTTCATCCACTGACCTGAGTCTAAGCATGAAATGCTGCTTCTCCAACTTGCTGGTTCATGTCTTCCTGGAGCAGATGTGTTGGCTATTTTTGCCCAAGGGCTAGGAGACTTTGATCCCAAGAAAACACGCACTTAAGGCATTTTATTTGTGCCCTGACTGGCCTGAAGCTGAGTCCCCTAGGGATGCTGTGCTGCATTCCTCATTTCCAGTGAAACAGATTAACTGAGATGTTTATGCCCCAATCTAACAAAGATCATCTTAGAGACGAATACAATCCTGTCCATGCTAATATATATTAGCATGGATATATTATATGTATATATATATATTATATATAGCATATATTATATATTATGTATAGTATATAATATATAGTATATATGATATAATATATATAGTATACACTATATATAGTATATACTATATATTATATATTGTATATGTTTTATATATATATATGTAACATTCCCAATATCTTTGTTAACAATTTCCAGAAAGCTTTCTAGAAAATCAAAGTCAGTGACAGTTATAGAGCCCTAGGAGAAGGCAATAAACTAACTTACTGGCCAGAGTATCTTCTAAATGTGTTTCCTGTCCCTTCAGCTACTACACAAATATTTAACAGGATCTGAGGCTGAACAAGACACTAAATCTATATCTGCATACTCGTTTACACATGTATAATCACAAAGGCTACATTTGCAAAATATATGACATATCAAATTTTCTACACAGTACATTTTGTATTAAAAGGCATAAAAATAGTCATTAAAATTGGATTCTCTAAAAACTGCAAGATAAAAGCCATCCTTGGCCGGGCGCAGTGGCTCACGCCTGTAATCCCAGCACTTTGGGAGGCCAAGGCAGGAGGATCACGAGGTCATGAGATGGAGACCATCCTGGCTAACAAGGTGAAACCCCATCTCTACTAAAAATACAAAAAAATTAGCCAGGCATGGTGGCGGGCGCCTGTAGTCCCAGCTACTCAGGAGGCTGAGGCAGGAGAATGGCGTGAACCCGGGAGGTGGAGCTTGCAGTGAGCCGAGATCCTGCCACTGCACTCCAGCCTGGGCGACTCAGTCTCAAAAAAAAAAAAAAAAAAAAAACAAAAACTATCCTTTGAAGTCTGTGTTACAAGGCTCTTCACCATTTTATTCTGGCTAACCTGTCACAACTCATCTCCTGACATGCATACTGGCCCCTCTTATAATGCTAAACTCCTGTAATATTGAGCTACCTGTTGTTTTATGAATGTTTCAGGCAATTTTATACCTTTGTCGTTTTTGTGTGACCTATTCCTT
The DNA here is from genome assembly GCF_000001405.40 of Homo sapiens. Lineage (NCBI taxonomy): Eukaryota > Metazoa > Chordata > Mammalia > Primates > Hominidae > Homo > Homo sapiens. The sequence continues at coordinate 38,290,834 of NC_000012.12, forward strand.
CTGCCTTTCTTCCTTTTTTTTTTTTATAGTAAACTCCTATTCATCCTTCTAAGTCCAGCTTAAATATCACTTCCTCCTGGCCGTCTGCTTCTTCTCCTGAATCAATCCATATTTGATCATGGTGCTATACTTTATATGTTCTTTTCTTATTATACTTATTACACAATATATTATAGCTATTTGTTTATATATCTGTCTCCTCTACAACCATGAGTAATTTATTTGTTTTCATCTTTGTAACTTTAGTACCTAATATGGTACTCAAAAATGCTTGTGAAATTGAAATTAAATTGAAGAACATAGAAGAAACTGCAGTAGAATCTAGTTCACTGTTGACCAAACACCTTTTAGAATGGAAAGAGATTTTAACAATCATGTAGTTCAGGGGTCGAATTATACAGATATGGAAACGAAGGCCTGGGGAGGTTTGTTGACTTGCTGAAGCTCATAGTTGGTTAATGGCATAGCCTGAATTAGAATTTGGTTCTAGGCCATACCAGTGCTGCCACAAGTTATTTTTCTTTTTGTTTGTTTGTTTGTTTTAGAGATGAGATCTCATTCTATTTCCTGGGCTGGAGTACAGTGGCATGATCATAGTTCACTGCATTCTTTAACTCCTGGGCTGAAGTTTTTTCCCTGCCTCAGCTTCCCGAGTAGCTAGAACTACAGGCACACACTGCCTCATCTGGCTAATATTTTTATTTCTTATAGAGATCGGGTCTCACTATGTTGACCAGGCTGGTCTCAAGCTCCTGGCCTCAAGTATCTCTCTCCTCAGCCTTTCAAAGTGTTGAGATTGCAGGCGTGAACCACTGTGCCCAGCTCACAAGTATTTTTTGAACATGTAAAACAAATACTGGACTATCTTGTATGAATCTGTCTGATGACATGCCTCACATGTTCATCGATCTGGTGCTATTATAGTATCTTTCCTTATGTAAGCAATAAGCATAATTCCGTTATGTCTGTGTTTTCCTCATGTGAAAAGAAGCTGGTAACAATAATTTTAGTTTTATCTTGAATAAATAATGCCATGGGACATTCAATTGTACACTATGCCTCCCTTTCACTTAAAGTGGCCAAATTCATAAACCCATAAATATATTCATTATGGAAAACATTTTCCCCCTCTTATTCAATGCTGTACTATTTTTCTATTCTATCAATTATAGAATGATGGAGAAATTGGCCACATACTAATTCCTCAATTGTAGGAGTCCATAGTAATGTCCCACTCACAGTCTTTAACTCTTTAACTCAGCATAGGCAGGGCAGGAGAGATGGGTGATACTGAAAGGCCAGAGTCAGCAAGGTTTTCTCTTTCCCTAAAGAACCAGGTGCATGGAAGTAAAAGGAAAGGAAAGACTCTGACAATACACTTCCACCTGTTCTTCACCCACCTTGAGTTGATGCAACCTCAAACAATGATAACAACGGGCTGAAATCTATGGAACCAGAAAACTAATTCCGAGTCTTAGAGTCTCTAGTCATGTGCATGAAGTGGCTCCCTGATTTTCCAATTTTTCTCACTTATAAAATAGAAAATTTGAACAATAATAATTCAAAAAAAGATGGCATATGGAAGAGGTATTATGCTAAGCACTTGGTGGATATTACTTTATTTAAAAGTAATAAATACTTGTTTATTATTATTTACTTGTTCATATTATTTTCTTCATTTTACACATGTATGCTAAAGATATGTTAGAGATATGGTTCAAGTCCCGGCTTGTCTAAGTCCAAAACCCACCTTCTTAACTACCTTTTGATACATTCTCCAAAATTGTATGATCTAATAAAACTTGAAAATCAGCCTGAATGTATATGAAGTGACATAACAAAGAAACTCATTAGTATTCTACCTTCTGGGGAAGTAGTCACCCCTTTCACTCTGCACACTAGTTTCATACAAATTAGATCAGACAAACATGCTAAATAGCACACAGGAATATGTACAGCCCACAGCTCTGCTCAACAGCATCTGGCTGCCTCTGAGAGAAAGAAGTGAGCTTTCAGTCTCTAGCAATAAGTCTTGTACTGTGCAAGTGTAATCTTAAATTATCCATTTTACCTTCTGTAAATCCCAATTTTGTTTCAAAAATCAAGACAATCTACATCAACCCACTCTGTTACAAAGAGGAAAGGATAAGCACATACATGTGTAATCAAAGCCCATCCCCATACACTGATGTGGCATTTAAATGAAGAAGCATAGAGACAGAAAGGACAGTAGCAGTCATTGAGCCTAAGCTTTAGAAGAAAAATGGACAACCCAAGATTGTCCTTAAGTTTTAAATATGGCTTAACCCAAGATTGGCTTAAGTTTTAAATATGTATACAACAATCAATTGCTGCTTCTTTTCTAGAGGTCTCCTTTGATCAAATTATAGATATTGCTTAGTTACATTATAGATACAAAAGGAAGAAGTGGAGGACAAAACCTGAACTAGTAGCCAATAATCCTTTTCTCTATTTTTGCCTAGATTTCCAGCTTCTATGTAGCCTTGGTTAAACCGTGTCTTTTCTTAGGACCTCATTTTCATTTACAAAATGAGGAGTTTAGACCAAATTGTTCCTGAAGTCTTTTCCATTTGTACTAAAAGTAGATGCTATATTTATGTGTTAAATAAATGCACTGCTAAGTGCGTGATTACTGAAGACTGCTCACATGCAGTGATCTATTGATTCATTCATTCATTCAGCAAATACTTATTGAGAGCCTACTGTGTGCCAGAAACTGATATATATGTTCAGAATACATGAAAGAACTAAACAGACAACTTATGCTTCACTTCGTGCGACTGTCGCCTTTACTTTCAAGCAATGCACAGAAAAAAAAATCCATGTGCACTACTTTAGAGGAATCAAAATGAGATGCATCCCAAAGAGTCTGGAACATTCTTTTTTGGCACATTGGTTTTAAGTATACTGCTCCTCAACCTTCTTTAATGCTGTAATAAGAGTGTTATGCTGTAATGTGTATGTTTCTCAGGAGCAAAACTTTGTTTTCCAACTCCCCTATGTCAGCAGTGTTTGTCAGCATAATTGGCACCCATTGCCTTGTTTGTAATGGCTTCCTTGTTCACTGGCTGGCCCTGGAGTTATCTCTACCAGAGTCACCATATGTCCTTCATTTGCCCACTGTTGCAAAGATTTTCCTGAAACTTTAGCAGTGCTCCCTTAAAATGTTCTGTTATTACCAATTTGTATTACAGGAAAAAAACATCATTCACATCAGGGGATAGGGCACAGGATGGCCAACTAGATGCAGTCAAGAAGCACCACTCCCAACAAGAGAGACCAAATTATTGAGTAAACCATCATAATTTGGGCAGATCTTTGGAGATAAAAAAAGTAAGAGTGGATGGAGAGGCAATGCTGAAGACCAGGTTGAAGAGGGAGGAAGGTGAGAACCCTGTGTGGGGTGTCCACATGCCAGGGTTAGTTCCTGGCCCCAAATGGCTCCTGGGAAAGGGGTGAGTGAGGGAACTGACGGGTGCATTACGCTTGCAACAGACCTGTAAGATCCTAGCTACAGGGGACCTTGTATCCCCCATGGATGTGTGAGCTGGCAGTGGATTTCCCTGGGGAACAGGCAGAGACAGGCCTTTGGACAGCAAGGGACCTGGGAGCTTTTGTGAGCCAGGCAAGTCCAGCAGACAACGGCCATAGATGCCAATTCCTCAGAGATCCCCATTCTCCTCCAGAAGGCAGAGCCCCAGCTGATCTCCAAGCCAGGAGACAGTGGGGCTAGCTTCCCTATGAGACTGAGGCACATCTGCTCTACAAGGCTTCATGCCTGCTGGTCCCTCCCAGGGTCCATGCCTAGTCATCCTGCAGGAGAGGTGCAGGAGTGGGTGCACAGTGCAGCCCCCACAGCCCAACCTGAGTATGTTGCTGCACCTGAATGTTTTTGGGTGACCCAGGAGCATATAAGATCCCCCAGGAGAGTTGGAACTGGAAGCTGAACCCCAAGATGTCCCACTGCCCCCAGGGCTGCAGTGCACAACTCAGGAGTACAGAGCCAAGATCTGTGGCTGATACTCAAGCAGGGGAGAAGACCTATCCCTCGGAGCAATGAGAGAAACAAGATGCGTGGGCTTCTGGGTAGGGTGGGTGCAGTGCATGCCTCCCTCCATAGGGATGATCCAAAGAGAGTGTGGCATATCTCCCTGCCACAGTCTCTGCCCAAGGTGCCACCATAGCTGAGAATATCTGACAAAAGAAATGCAGGAGCAGCACCAGCTATCTGGAGGGGGCTCCCCCAAGGCCCAGGAGCAAACCTGGTGAGGGGGCTATCTCTTTCCCCTACTACCCCACTGTCAAGGATGCTTGCTAATGTGAGGAAGTACAAAAGAGCCCACAGGCTGGGCATTAATCTAGCTATGGGTCATTACTCCTAAGTGTCATCTATTGGATTACAGTTCAAACTACAACACCAAAAATTTATTCTGATAATATAGACACCTGTGAAACCAAGCACACTAATTCATTCACACATAAAAATCCTATAGAGAGCACTGGCCCTCTGAAAGCATCCAGAGGCAAAGCCAACTGACTATACTCAACTTAGACCACAGTTAAAAGAACACTAACTCTCCCCAATGAGAAAGAATTAACACAAGAATTAATTCTGTCAGTACAAAAAGCCAGAGCCCCTGTATTAGTCTGTTCTCAAGCTGCTATAAAGACACACCCAAGACTGGGTACTTTATAAAGAAAAGGAGGTTTAATGGCCTCACAGTTCCACATGGATGGAAAGGTCTCACAATAATGGCGGAAGGTGAGGGAAGAACAAAGGCATGTCTTTCATGGCAGCAGGCGAAGAGAGAAATGAGAACCAAGCAAAAGGGGTTTTTCCCTTATAAAACCATCAGATCTTCTGAGACTTATTCACTACCATTCACTACCAAGAACAGTATGGAGGAAACTGCCCCATGATCAAGTTATCTCCCACCAGGTCCCTCCCACAACACATGGGAATTATGGGAGCTACAATTCAGGTTGAGATTTGGGTGGGGACACAGCCAAACCATATCATACTGCCTCTGGCCCCTCCCAAATCTCATGTCCTCACATTTCAAAACCAATCATGCCTTTCCAATGGTCCCCCAAGTCTTAACTCATTTCAGCATTAACTCAAAAGTTCACAGTCCAAAGTCTCTTCTGAGACAAGGCAAGTACCCTCCACCTATGAGCCTGTAAAATAAAAAGCAAGTTAGTTACTTACTACATACAATGGGGGTACAGGCATTGAGTAAATAGAGCTGTTTCAGATGGGATAAATTGACCACAGCAAACAAGCTACCAGCCCCATGCAGGTCTGAAATCCAGCAGGGCAGTCAAATCTTAAAGCTCCAAAATGATCTCCTTTGACTCCATGTCTCACATCCAGGTCATGATGATGCAAGAGGTGGGTTCCCATGGTCTGAGCAGCTCTGCCCTGTGGCTTTGTAGGGTACAGCCTACCTCCTGGCTGCTTTCACAGGCTGGCGTTGAGTGTCTGGTTTTTCCAGGTACATGGTGCAAGCAGTCAGTGGATCTACCATTCTGGGGTCCAGAGGACAGTGGCCCTCTTCCCACAGCTCCACTAGGTGGTGTCCCAGCAGGGACTCTTTGTGGGGGCTCTGACCCCACATTTCTCTTCCACACTGCCCTAGCAGAGGTTCTTCATGAGGGCCCTGCCCCTGCAGCAAACTTCTGCCTGAGCATCCAGGCGTTTCCATACATCCTCTGAAATCTAGGCAGAGGTTCCCAAACCTCAATTCCTGACTTCCATGCACCCACAGGCTCAATACCATGTGGAAGCTGCCAAGGCTTAGGGCTTGCACCCTCTGAAGCAGCAGCCCAAACTGTACCTTGGCCCCTTTTAGCAATCGCTGGAGCAGCTGGAATCCAGGTCACCAAGTCCCTAGACTTTAGAGAGCAGGGTGGTCCTGGGACTGGCCCATGAAACCAGTTTTTCCTCCTCGGACTCTGGACCTGTGATGGGAGGGGCTTCCCTGAAGACCTCTGACATGCCCTGGAGACATTTTTGGGGATTAATATTTGGCTCCTCATTACTTATGCAAGTTTCTGCAGCTGGCTTGAATTTCTCCTCAGAAAATAGGTTTTTCTTTTCTATCCCATCATCAAGCTGCAAATTTTCTGAACTTTTATGCTCTGGTTTCCTTTTAAAACTGAATGCTTTTAATAGCACCCAAGTCACCTCTTGAATGTTTTGTTGTTTAGAAATTTCTTCCACCAGATACCCTAAATCATCTCCCTCAAGTTCAAATTTTCAAAGATCTCTAGGGCAGGGGCATAATGCCACCAGTTTCTTTGCTAAATCGTAGCAAGAGTCACCTTTACTCCAATTCCCAACAAGCTCCTCATCTCAGATGGAGATCTGAGATCATCTCAGCCTGGATTTCATTGTCCATATCATTATCAACATTTTGGTCAAAGCCATTCAACAAGTTTCTAGGAAGTTCCAAACTTTCCCAAATTTTCCTGTCATTTGAGCCCTCCAAGTCTCTAGGAAGTACCAAACTTTCTCACATTTTTCTATCTTCTTCTGAGCCTCCAAAATGTTCCAATCTCTGCCTGTTACCCAGTTCCAAAGTCGCTTCCATATCTGTCGGTATCTTTACAGCAGCACCCTACTCCTAGTCCCAATTTACTGTATTAGTCTGTTCTCATGCTGCTGATAAAGACATACCCAAGACTGGGTAATTTATAAAGAAAAGGAGGTTTAATGGACCTCCTTTCTACATAGCTGAAGAGGTCTCACAATCATGGTGGAAGGCAAGGGAAGACCAAAGGCACATTTTACTTGGAAGCAAGCAAAGAGAGAAATGAGACCCAAGCAAAAGGGGTTCCCCCTTATAAAAGCATCAGATCTCATGATACTTACTCTCTATCATGAGAATAGTATGGAGGAAACTGCCCCACAATTCAATTATCTCCCACCAGGTCCCTCCCACAACACATGGTAATTATAAGAGCTACAATTCAAGATGAGATTTGGGTGGGGACACAGCCAAAGCATATCAGTCCCCTTACCCCCAAACAAGTATAATAGCTCCCCAGCAATAGTTCATAACCATTCTGAAACAACTGAAATGACAGACACAGAATTCAGAATTTGTATGGTAAGGAAACTCACTGATTTAGGAGACAATAGAAACCTGATCCAAGGAAACTAAAGAATCCAGTAAAATGATCTAAGAGTTGGAAGATGAAATAGCAATTTTAAGAAAGAACCTAACTGAACTTCTACAGCTGAAAAATTTCATAATACACTAGGAAGTATTAACAGCAGAATAGACCATGCTGAGGAAAAAAATCTCAGAGCCAGAAGATCAGTTCTTTGATAAAACTCAGTGGGACAAAAATTTTAGAAAAGAAGAATTAAGAAAAATGAAAAAACCTCCACAAAATGTGAGGTTATATAAGGAGAGCAAACCTACAACCCATTGGCATTTCTGAGAGAGAAGAAGAGAGAATATGCAGCTTGGAAAATATATTTGTGGATATAGTCCACAAAAATTCCCCTAATCTCACTAGAGAGGTTGATATGCAAATCTAAGAAATGCAGAGAACCCAGTCTAGATATTATACAAGGCACATAGTCAACAGATTAACCAAGGTCAATGCAAAAGAAAACAATCTTAAATGCAGCTAGAAAGATGGGTCAAGTTATCTAGAAAGGGAATACCCTCAGGTTAGTAGCAGACCTCTCAGCCAGAAGAGACTGGGAGCCTACTTTTAGTGACCTAAAAGAAAAGAAATTCCAACCAAGAATTTCATATGCTGCCTCACTAAGCTTTATACATAAAGGAGAAATAAAATCTTTCTCAGACAAGCAAATGCTGAAGGAATACATTACAACTAGATCAGCCTTATGGGAGGTTCCTAAGAGAACGCTAAGCATGGGATCAAAAGAGTGACACCTGCTACCACAAAAACACACAAGCACATAGCCCACAGTTATGCTAAATCAACTACACAATCAAGTCGACCTAACAACTAGCAAACAACATGATGACAGGATTAAAATCACAGATATAATTATCAACCTTGCATGTAAATGAGCTAATTGCCCCATTTAAAGAACATAGAGTAGCAGGCTGGATAAAAAAGACAAACCCTACCATCTGTTGTCTTCAAGAGACCCATCTCAGATGTGATGACACTCACAGGCTCAAAGTAAAATAATGGAGAAATATCAAGCAGGCAAAAAGAAAACAAAAAAAAAACATGAATAGCTATTCTTAAGTTAGATAAAACAACCATTTTAATACAGAACTAAACTGAACTTCTAGAACAGAAAACCTCTCAATATTGACTTCAGATTTTAACGAAAATTAAGAACAATGAAGGACATTGCATAACGATAAAGGGTACAATCCAACAAGAAGCCTTAACTATGTTAATTTAGTCTGCTGCTAACCTGATGGTTTTCCCTCCATACATAAATTGACCCTTTTCTCTAGATGCCTTTAGGATTGTTTTCTATTTCATTGGCTGTCCAACATTGGAGCACCTAGAGTCATAAAATAAGTTCTTCCTGGTCTACAAAAAGACTTAGACAACCACACAATAATAGTGGGGAACTTTAACACCATACTGAAAGCATTAAACAGATCATCAAGGCAGGAAACTAACAAAGAAACTCTGGACTTATACTTGACACTTGACCAATTGGACCTAATAGACATCTACAGAACACTCTACCCAAAAACCACAGAATATATATTCTTATCATCTGGACATAGACCATATTCTAAGATTGACCACAGGCTGGAAATTGAACAACTTGTTTCTGAATAACTTCTGGGTGAACATCAAAATTAAGGCAGAAATTTTGTAAAAAAATTTGAAATTAATGAAAATAGGGACACAAATTACCAAAATTTCTGGGATGCAGCCAAGGCAATATTAAGAGGAAAGTTCATAGCCCTAAACACCTTCATCAGGAAGTTAGAAAGATCTAAAGTTATTAATCTAACTTTGTACCTAAAAGAACTAGAAAACAAAAGAACAAACCAACTCCAAAACTAGCAGAAGATAAAAAATAATTAAAATTAGAGAGGAACTTAATGAAATTAAGATGCAAAAATCCATACAAAAGATCAATGAAACCAAGAGTTGGTTATTCAAAAAATAAGTAAATAAGATTAATAGACTGCTAGCTAGATAAAGAAAAAAAAAGATCCAAATAAGTACAATCAGAAGTGACAGATATGACACTACAACTAATCACACAGACATACAAAAGCTCCTTAGAGAATACTGTGAGAAACTCCATGCACACAAATAAGAAGATATGGAGGAAATGGAAAAATACCTGGAAACCCACAGTCTCCCAAGATTGAATCAGGAGGCGCTTGCAACTCTGCATAGACCAACATCGAGCTCTGAAATTGAATTAGTAATGAAAAAAAAAAACCTACCAACCCAAAAAGACCCTGGATCAGATGAATTCACAGCCAAATTCTACCAGAAAGACAAAGAACTGGTTTCAACCCAACTGAGACTATTCCAAAAAATCAAAAAGGAGGAAATCCTCCCTACATCATCAGCCTAATACCAAAATCTGACAGAGACACAACAAAGAAAGAAAACTTCAGGCTAATATCCCTGGTGAATATAAATGCAAAAATCTCAATAAAATACTAGCAAATTGAATCCAGCAGCACATCAAAAAGTTAATTCACCATGATCAAATAGGCTTCCTTCCTGCAATGCAAGGTGGGTTTAAGATAGGCAAATCAATAAAGGTGATTCACCACATAAACAGGATTAAAAGCAAAAGCCATATGATCATCCCAATAGATGCAGAAAAAGCTTTCAGTAAAATTTAACATCATTTCATGATAAAAGCCCTCAACAGGCCAGGCATCAAAGAAACATACCGCAACATAATAAGAGCAATCTATGACAAACCCACAACTTATATCATACTGAATGGGTAAAGGCTGGAACCATTCCCCCTGAGAACTGGAACAAGGCAAAGATGCTCACTCTCTTTTAAAGATTCATTCACATGTAACTAACTATCACTTAGGAAGGGCAACTTTTATGGAAAAGAAATGATACATGCCCTCTCCAAAGAATCTTTTTTTTTTTTTTGCTTGATTTGCAGGAATCTGTCATGGAGAAAGACAGTTAGTAACTCCCTTCAAACTTAGTAGCAGGGAATAGCATGATGGAAAGAATGTTTATTAGATTGCCACTCTCTAGTTGTATAACTTCAGGAAGGGCATTCAACCTGTGAGTCTCAGATTTTAGTGGTAAAATAATATGTACCTCAGTGTTGCTATGAGGATTCAATCATAATCCTCATATAATAATGATATGATACAATAATAATATAGAAGTGCCTACCACCTATCACCAAACATTACCTAGACAATATACCCATCATCATAATATAAAATTGAATAGCCAGTTACAATTTATGTAAGAGTACTCAAATACAAAGAAGGTTGTAATTATGGAGATAAAGTCTAGGTAATGAACTGATTGTTTCACTAATGTTTACATTTTTACATCTATGGCCTCTCAGTTCCAGCACAATAAATGGTGGCTTCCTTTCTTAACCTTTCCTAATATCCTATCCAAGTTTCTATAATGAAATCAGCTGTTTATCCCAATGGACAATTCTAACTTCCTAGGTGTTAGGAGCACCTATCTCATTTACCAACTCACTCACCAATGAATCAAAAAAGCAACCCAAAACCAAAAGAAAATGTCAAGTATTGGGTTCAAGCCCTAGATTCAACTACTTTACCATCTGCATGATTTTAGGCATGTTGATCTTTCTAGACTCAAAATTTTTCAGCTGTAAAATGATAATCTATAGTTGCTTTACAAATCTTTGTGGGTTTTATGTAAAGATAAAAAAACTCATACTCTTCGGCTTTGTAAATTTGGATCTTTCATAAATACAATTAATAGTATTGTTTCTTTTATTGGTATATATGAATATATTCAACTTAAGTAAAACTAGTTTATGATTCTATATGTTTACAATGTGTAACAGATTTATTTTCTGTTACAAATTATACCCTAGAGAGAAATTAAAACCTGGAATCTGTGAAAAGGCAGCCAATATTTTTCTCTCCTTATCCTGGAAAGTCAGCAAATAGCAGCATAATGAGACAAGCATAGTAATTACACTATTTGCAGAACTAATTCTATGTGATATGATGAAGATGTCCTCCTGGCCCTCAATAAAACACAAATAAGCAATTTTGTCTGACAAAGCATTATTTTTAAAAGACAGTAATTCACTCCTTACCTTTATCTTCTTTCACTTTCCACTCTAGGATTTTGTATTATTTTGCAAAGTAGAGATGATTCATTTCTGAAAAATGGCAACCATTTTCAGTGTTGGCATAGGAGGGTGACAATATTGTTGGTGAATAATTCTGAGCGCATGTCTCTATACAACATCCTAGATTCTCCAGCCTCTTTTGATGACCAAACATGTCTATTTCATTTTTATCTTCTGTTTTCTAATAAAAACCTAAGTTGTTTTTGAGCCAGATTATGGGATCAATAAACTAAGCACTTTAAAGTGTATATATTCAATCTGTAACTAATTGCCCATAAAACATCACTGGAAATTAAATGAGGGAGAAGAATGTATTTATCAGAAATCATCTTGAGAGTGTCCTACATGTTACTGAATTGAATGCTCCTTTATTGCGATGTATGCTGGAAGAAACGGGTTTTTCATGAAGCACAACTTCCCTCCCTATACCCTCCCACAAGTCCCTCCTCACAAAGGTGTATGAAATGGACCCTAAACTACCTTGTAAGGATGTCATCAAGGTGTCAGCAGGATTGTATTCCTTCTGGAGGCTTTAGAGCAGAATCCATTTCCTTAACCTTCCCAGTTCCTAGAGGCCTCCTGCCTTCCTTGGCCTGTGGTCCCTTTCTCAAATCACTCTGACCTCTGCTTCCATCATCATGTCTCCTTCGGTCATTCTGACCTTCCTTCCTCCATTTTCTAAGACTCCTTGTAATTATGTTGGACCTACTGAACAGGCCGGGGTACTATTCTCATCTCATGATGCTTAACCTAACCATATCTGCAAAGTATCTTTTGCCACTTAAGGTAACACATTCACCAGTTGTAGAGATTAGGAGGTAGACACCCCTGGGGAGCCATTATTCTTCTTAGCATACTGCATATACTATTCTGGAATAAAAAGGATGTGAATTTAAACCCTGAATCATTATTTGTTCTATAGGACTTTAAGCAGATTGCTGAAATAGTAACCTCTTTCCAAAGCTATAAATTGGTGATCTTAGTTATATCTGCCTCATAGAGTCGTTGTGAGAGTCAAATAGGCCACAAAGCTAGTTGAATAATGCCAACACAGTGACTACATCTTATTCTCTAGACTAATATTTCTCAAATTTCAGTGACTAATGACCCTTTTCAAGAAAAAAATTTCTCTTCATCATTGATAAAATATATAAATTATTTTGTTACTTAAATAAGTACAGCATAAAACTGAGTTAGCTTTTGTTTACAATTCTTAAACAAATATATGAAGCAAATTTACAGGGCAAATTAATAGACTTAAGCAATGCTTGTAACCTAAATTGCATACTTGCTACTATGCCATTGGACTTTTCCAGTTAGACTTTCTTACTATGTGTGTGTGTGTGCGTGTGTGTGTGTGTAAGTGTGTTTTGAGATGAGATGGGGTCTCACTCTGTCACCCAGGCTGGACTGCAGTGGTGTGATCGCAGCTCACTGCAACCTCCACCTCCTGGGCTCAAGCCATCCTCCCACATCAGCCTCCCAAGTAGATAGGTGCACCACCATGTCCGGGTAATTTTTTGTATTTTTGGTAAATATGGGGTTTTGCCATGTTGTCCAGACTGTTCTCAAAATCCTGAGCTCAAGCGATCTGCCCACCTCAGCCTCCCAGAGTGCTGGGTTTACAGACGTGAGCCACTGTACGAGGCCAGTGTTCATATTTGCTATAGTTTTATGATACCCAAAAGCTCTCACCATCTTTCAATATTCAAATTATGCATTGGGAAACATTTATGAGTAGGATGGTCAGCCATGTTATCATTGGGCCTCCACACATCGCCAGCCTGGGTATAAACATAAAATCAAACACAAGTGGCTAGTTCACATTGCAGTATCAACTCTAAGAACATCTAGCACTGCATTTTCTAGTACAATAACCACTAGCCATTAAAGAGAAGTTAATATAAAAAATTAATATTTAAGTTAATATTTAATTAAATTACCAGCCTGGCCAATATGGTGAAACACCTCTCTACTATAAATACAAAAATTAGCCAGGCATGGTGGCACAGGCCTGTAGTCCCAGCTACTCGAGAGGCCGAGGCAAAAGAATTGCTTAAACCCAGAAGGCAGAAGTTGCAGTGAGCCGAGATGGAGCCATTGCACTCCAGCCTGGGCAACAAAGCGAGACTCCATCTCAAAAAAAAATTAATTAATTAATTTAATTAAAGTCTCTGTTCAACTACCCTAGTCGCATGTGGCTGTGGTTATCATATTAGACAGCATAAAATACATTTTAATTATTGTGGAAAGTTGTGTTTTAAAATTTTTATAGAGAATTATGTACCTTTAGACAATGTCTAAAAAAGCTGCTGCTTAGGAAACACTATAGTAGATGGCCGGCCATGAGAAAAGGAGTTATTTCTGTTGTATTAACTGCTTTTTTCCCTAGTGCTTAGTGCTTAATAAACACTTGTTGAAAGATTGAAATTCCAGTTTAAAAGGCAAACTGTGTATATAAATTATGTTTTCAAACTAAGAAGTTCTGTGATGGAATAGATGTACTAGGGACAGAGATAAAATGTATAGATCTTTTGTTTATCAAAAGATACATGAACCTATTTAAAATAAATGCTTTTCACATAGCTAATTATTTCACCATGTTCACCATAAATAAACAAATCAAATTTTAATTATTGTTGTTCTATGAATAATGACCATCAATTTTTAGGTTAAAATATTTTGATTTATTAATCATGCTAAATGAACACTGTCAAAACAACAGATTTTATGGAAACTAAGACAACATCAAAGGTACAATATACATGTTGTTATCGGTACTAATTAATGTCTTTACATATCTACTAACTTCACTGTAGAGAATAAATATGTTTCTGCAAATTTATACACAAATTCTAATTTTAACAATCGAATCTTTCTTTTACTAAACTAGGGCATTTGCTGTGGAAAGGAACCCTTATTCTTTTTGGTGTTGTAGTTCTTGTTTTGCTTTCAAACAATGAAAACATTATGTAATTTGAAAAATTATCCCCATGCTGTTTGTGTTGTAAATCCATGTTTGTTTATTAAAGCTTTTACTCTTGAGACTATATTGATAACAATCTAAATATTTTACCTTCATCTTATATAAGCTTCACATGTTGGTATTAAAAAATCCTCTTGTAATAAACACAACTCTAAGAGTTTAATGTTTACATGCTAGAGAAATGAAATAAGCTTATCAATGATGAAATAGATATATGTATCCTACTTTCTGGAAAATAACATGTTTCATTACTTGGCTGTTTGATTTACAAAAATTATAGATTGTATTGGATGTCCCATGAATGTGCCTGGTAAAATATAATGGAATACTTATATTTCTCTTAAGAATACTCTAATATAATATATTTGTATTTCTCTGAATTTGAAGGGAACAGCCTAAAACTATCAAAATGCAAATGTAACATAATTTTGCCAGGAACCTACTCCTTCATCAGGAAATATAGACCACAATAATTTAATTCATGCTGGAAAACAATGCTTTCCATTAGCACAGTTTTATTTTCAAAACCAGAATAAATTGTTGATTTAGAAGTAGTCTCAGTCCTCATCTTTGGAAAGATTCCGTTTTTCTTATTCAGGCTACAAGTACTTGTAAAAGAGTGTATAAAAATATTTCACCTGTGGGGGGAAGGGGGAGGGATAGCATTTGGAGATATACCTAATGTTAAATGACGAGTTACTGGGTGCAGCACACCAACATGGCACATGTATACATATGTAACAAACCTGCATGTTGTGCACATGTACCCTAAAACTTAAAGTATAATAAACAAAAATTTCACCTAACCACATTCATTTTGGCTACCTAGTTTAATGTGAATTACCTTGAAAGAGGGGATTAACGGGCATGACTGTGGACCATAAAATATGTAATAGATAAATATTCTTGAAAAACAGTGACTCTTAAAGAGTTAGTATATTTTTCACTCATCTTGGAACCTGCAGTAATATTGATGTCCTTGAATAAAGTGATATATTTAGAACAGATGACTGGCTGCTATGGGGATTTAAATAACCTATGATTTTAAAATTGTCTATTTCTCTACTTTTTAATTTTCTTCTGAAAATAAATTTGAATGCACTTCTTCAAATCTTTCACATTTTCATACCTCTTTACTTTTTCTTGTGCTGATATCTCTAAATGGAATGCTCCCTCCTCCTACCCACACCTCCTTTTTTCTGACATGTAACTAAATTATATTATTTTAAATTTTAAACCTGAGCATCTTTGTGAAGCTTTCTCTAACACTAGGGATAAAGCATCTGGTTTATGAGTATTTTTTCAGGTATATCAACTTTCTCAGAAATTTGTCAAATTTTTAAATTGTAAGTGTTTAAATCTTCTATAGTTAATATATGAATCACCTATTTTACTGAATGACTATGTGTCAATAACAAAGATTCACATGGAGTTTTTTTCTTTAATGAAATGCTATAAATTGACTTCCTATAGTAATAAAGTAAACAAAGTTTGGTCTCTCTTTTATATTTGTAGTAATTTATTAGTAAGTCAATATTGCAATGTATCAGAATATTCTTCACTAGCAGGTCAATATAAAATTCAGGAGATCATATAAAGGACCAAAATGTAGTCACAGAGTCTTCTTACACTAACAGTAATTCGTACAGTTTGGACTGACAAGTTATTCGGCCTTGGAACAATTGTAGAATGCAGAAAAATTTTCTAAGACGCAAATAAAAGATGTGCTACACTTTACTATTCTTCCAAAATTCCATGTGTCAAATAATTGAAATAGTACCTGCCTGCAATATTGAAAAAGATAAATGGTAGCAGTTCCAAGGAGACTGATTTTATAACAACTTTAACTCCTCTGGATATAAACTTCTGTATTAATTCAAATACCTGGTGAATTGAAGTTGCTGAAAGAGAAAAGCAGAGGTATTAATACCTATGCTATTAATGCTGTCATTTTCACGAGCCTGTTTCAGATTTATCCTTACACATTAATAATACTAAGATCTCCCAAAGCAGAGATTTAATTAAATTTTCCAAATAAGGCAATACATTTGTGAGCATACTTAGAACCATCATAAATAAAGCTAAAATATATTCTTTAAATAAAAGAACCAAGTAAATTTGTGTTGCTGTAACCTTGATTTAATAACATGGAATTTTTACATTACTCACTTGCTAATCAAAGAAACATTATAATCTTTGATGAAGTATCCCTAGGTTCTGATTTATTTCTTTATTTTAATAAGACAGGATATATTTTTTATGAAATGTCATTTTAAATGGCATTATGACCAACAGATATTTATTACATACTTACTAGGAGCATGTCAAGCAAAAGACTCATTACTCAAGCTCCACCAAACTGTTTTCTAGACTAAACTAATTACAGATTCTTAGGCAAACGACAATGCACAGAGTTGCGCTAATGACTTCACGACGTTCCTAGTTTCCTAAGACCCAATCTACTCCCATCTCCTCAAGTAGCCCTCAGTGACTTTAACTACTTTTCTTCTTCCCAAACTTAGGTGACATTATACCCTAGGATAGCTTTCAGTTCTTTTATTTATTCAAGTGTTATCAATGAGTAATGAATAATTCAGTAGTTATTAAGGACTACTGAATGTTTGATACTGTGTTAAGCACCGAGTATGTTACTTGCTATCAAGTGTCTACGTGGCAAATAATGTTAGCAACATAATAAATGCACTATATTAAGTGGCTTTACAGTAGCAACAACATCAAATGTATATTTCTCATTCATAGTACTGTAGGCACCTGTGGGTTGGCCGCTATGACTCTGTGAATTTCCATCTCAGAACAAAGGCTAAAGATACAATCCCTATTTAGTACCTGACATTCTTATGGCAGAGGAAAAAGTGCAGGAGTTAATTGTTTAGTGGCTTTTTACATTTCTGCTAGAATGTAATACACAGTTGATTTCTACTGTTTGAGGTAGTAATGTTCCATAAAGAATATTATTTATTGTGTATTAAAATATATTATTTGAAATATATTAATATAATTAATTATATATTCTTAATTATATAGTGAAAGATAATTAATAGTGGTGTTACGAATAATCAAGTTAAAAAATGAATAGCCTTCCACAGAAATTCTTATATTTGCAGCTTTTCGCCTAGGTCGGTGGCATTGAACATAAGGTGATTACAAAGTGCATAAGCATTTGACCCAAATGCATTTGTGATAATTACTTATTTTTCATTAATGAAAGCATGTAGTATTTTCAGTAAAGCTGTTATATTTTATATTACATTGAGAAATAAGAGGTTTATGAATAGGTAACTTGAATAAAAATATTTTGATCAGCCATTTAACACATTAATTAATTTGATTCAACTATTTGTATCTGGCTAGTTAGGATTTAAAGAAAATCTATCTGCAAGACTTTCACTTATACCCATGAGGGATTAGGCATAGAACCATACACTGAAAATGTGTGAATTTTACTGTGCATAAATTATATCTCAATAAAAATAATTTTCAAAAAATATCTGTATAGACATTTTAAGTTGTAGTAAATAATATAGGACGTTTTATTAAACAAGTTTTTGATTGCCGGTATTACTGCTGTTTAAGTTAAGGAAATAGTTGGGAATGGTATAACAGGATTCATGGCAGTAGAAAGCCAAAAGTATTGATTTAATTTCTCTCAACTTCAAAAAAAAAAAAAGAAAAAAAGAGAGAGACAGAGAAATAAAAAAGTCTCAGTTCAAGAGCTGATTACAAGGTTTGCCATTTGTAGTATAAGACTATCATCACATCTGCTTAGAAATGAAACACACATAAAAGTGTTGGCCAGGATACCAGAGAGCAGAGAGAAGGAACTCCAACCTACAAACTGATTTATTGGCTGCTTCTGCCTCATTATAATTAATACGTGTCCATTTTTCTGAGGAATTTGGCTAAGATTTGCTTTCACTGCAATGAGCTATCTGATAACATGTTTGCAGAGGTGGAAAAGTAGAGTGCTCTACCAATGAAGAATACCTATAATCATGAAAAAAATTAAAGTTCTGGAACATAACAAAAAGCCAAATTAGTTTATGCTTGCTTGATAAATAACCTTCTTGACATTCAGCACTGAATTCTCAAAAATAAAAGAAAGGGCTAAGTTTAGGTTGAGTGTTGAGCATTCTACTAAATGATGTTGGCCAAACAAAAACACTATGTTAAATATTTATTATATTAAATTTTTAAGTTACCAGGTCAAAAATATCACCTTACACATCTTCTGGACATAATACAAAGTTGTTTATTTTATTTTACTTTTTAAGTTAAATTTTCATTTGTTGCAAGGTAATAGAACATTTCTCAAACTACACAGGGTAAATAACTAGTTTTATTCTAAATTTCCAACCTATCATGGATTAATAATTCTATGAAATATAACAAAAATGAATTGTTAGAAAAGTGAAAGAAAAAACAGACATATAAAATATAAGCTCACTTTTAGTATTAATTCTACAAAAATAAAATTACTCTGCCATACTGCTATAAAAATTTCTAAAAGCTTATTCTTAATTTCTGTACTTACATGTTCAAAAATAGTAATACAGGGATCTGAACAGGCACCAGTCCACAAAACACACTTTTAAATGAACATCTGTGTTTCTTCCAAAGGTAAAATAAGTGCAATAAGCTTATAATTGTTCTAAATAAGGGTCACTATCTTTGCCAAACTTTGATTTGTTTTTCCAAGATTTAACTGTTTTCAATAGTTTGACAGTTACCTTGGTAAATTGAAATAACAAGCCTATGTTGCCATTTCTTGACTTTTTCTTATTTTTATTTATTATTATTTTAATTTTTATTTTAGGTTTGGGAGTACATGTGAAGGTTTTTTACATAGGTAATCACATGTCATGAGGATTGGTTGTGACGGACTTCTTCACGAAAAACTGGACAATTGACTTGAATTAAACTTTTATAAATGAGAATATTCAAATGACCAATAAACATATGAAAAAAGCTTATTTTCATTCGTCATTAGGTAAACACAAATTAAAACTACAATGAGATGCCATAACATATGCACCAGAATGGGTAACAAAAAACTAACAATACTAGGTGTTGATAAAGATATGAAAGAAGAAAAACGCTCATATACTGCTTGAAGTATAAATTGGTACAACCACTTTGGAAGACCCATTGTTAATATTTAACCTAGAAAATGCACCAATTTATGAGACTCTCATTACAATCCTAGGTATATACTCTACAAAATATGTGCTTAGGTAATATAATCAAGACACACACACACACACACACACACACACACACACACACTCTTCAAATTCTAGTGGAGATCTGTTTTTATCTTGTGCTAAGTGCTGAGCCCTGAATGTCAAAAGTCTTCCTCTCAGTATTCCTGCTCCATCCTCAACTTTCAGCACTCTTTGCAAGCCTGCACCTCAGAGGGATTTTTCTCCCCATGCTTTGTCCCATTCCTCAACAGTTGACTTCTTGTCACTCAGGGCCAGCCAGGTTCATAGCGGGAGGTGAGGAGGTAGGTTCAGTGCTCCTAGCCCATCTTCAGTGGTAGACACATCCTGCTTGAGACCCTACCTGAGTGGGGGAATGGAGGGCTTTCAAGTTGTTCCTGTTCCTCCTCACTATAGTAGCCAAACTGTGCCTTGCATGCATGGTGTTTTAGAGCCAGGGAGTGTTCAAGGCCTCTCCAGTAGGAGCACCATACCTCTGCTTTGAATTACTGAAGGATGGAGGCCTGAAGACCTTCCTGCCACTCCATTGAGGGCAAAAGATTTTTACTTCTCTCCCTCCTCCAGGATCTTTGGCTGCTTCCTGGGGTGGAAGTATCTCACCTTCCTCAGAGAACTAAGGCTTTTTCTTCACATGATTGAAGGGCCCAGATAAGTGTGCGGTGTGTTGTTCATTCCCCAGAGGCAGCCAATCATGCCATGTGTGCCTGTATCTCCATCAGAGTCTGGTTTCTCACCTGCTTCCATTATTTTTTTGGATGATGACATCACTATTGTAAGATATTTTCACTACCAAAAATAATAGTAATGAATTATTAATATTGTAAATAATGAACTTTAAAAAATTACAAACATAGCCATCCTGAGTGGCAGTCACATTGGGTGGATATTTGAGTGCTGACCAGTAAACAATACTACAATCAGTAAACATAAACTAAAACATAACTGGAATCAGTAAACAAACTATAACCTAACTGGTGGCAAAAGTAACAAATTGGTCCTGATTCTGTTGAAGTTGTCAGCATCCTCTAGTGGAAATACATGTTTTTAAAAAGCACGTTTTTAAATGCAGAGACCTTTCTCACACATTTTTGCAGTCATTGAAATTTGGCAGTTATGGAAACTAACATTTGGAGGCAGTAAAAAACAGTGTAGTGTTTCATTTTATTATAGTAAATAAATGTAAATTATTTAATACAGTTTGTTGCCTCATTCAGAAAACCAACCCAAAATGAAGCAAGAACAAAAGGAAATCTAGAAAGAACAGGAACCACAGGAGATCAGAAACTACTGATTCAATGTTTCTGCTTTGTCTGGTGAAAATAAAATCTCTATGAGGGTTTCTGTATTTAAATTTAATTAATGAAAAGTCAGGTGATCTCCATTCTCACTAAATTAGAACATGCACATGTTTAAAGAGCAATATTCTGAATGTACGCCAAACTTTTAGCCAGTGCAGGGTACCTAATGCTCAGCCTAAGGATGCCCACTTGTTTTACTCTGCTTCTAAAGCCAAAAGGGAATTAACCAGAAACCCTCCTCAATATTTCACAAAACCTCTATTTTCAGTAATAACAATTGTATCATAAATCTCACTCTAACGTCTGAAATTTTAAAATTAGTAAGATCATATTACTGTGTCTCTTAAACTGTAAAATTATTTAAGAATTAAAATTAATTCAATGTCTTCTCTTCTAACTTTTTACTTTGGTTGATTTAATAGTACTGTAATTTCATCAGTATAATAGTGCAATTCATTTAATAATCAATTTATGATTCTCTTAAATTTTATGCAGTTTAAAGGAAAAGGAATTCATGAAGTTTCTTTTCCTGGAATGTTTCTTATCTAACTGGCAGCAATAGCTGTAGGACTATGGTTTTTAAGCTACTTATTTTAGCAAAAAGCACAGTTCCCCTTCGCATAGTTTTTTGAAAGAAAAGCCATCTGTCTGAATATAAATATATGTAACTAAAAGCCATTAAATTGTAAGTATTTAAGTTCCTCTTCTTCAGCTGCTGAGGAGGAACATCGTCTATATGTTCATTGGCAATGAACTTTGTTCCTTGGCAGGGTGAAGCCTGGAGATGAAGAATTGGAGAAACCAGGGGACAAAGCAGCATGAGTGATCAGAAAAGCAAGGGGAATGTAGAGGACAGCAGTATTCTCAAACTTTCATGTCCATCAGGTCCACTTGGGAATCTAAGGGAATCATAAGTGATTACAAAATGAACGTTAAAACATGTATTACTTGGCTCCCTCTGCTATCAGAATTTGTTTTCCGGTAGGTCTAAGGCAAGACTTAATTATTTGCACTTCTAACAGGTTCCCAGGTGATACTAATGCTGTGGTACAGGGACCACACTTTAAGAACCACTGTTATAAAAAAAAAACATTTAGGAAGTTTTGCTTTGGGTTGTATGGTATATCTTTCTAAATGACCAAGTGTATTAGGCCTTTTTCACACTGCTATAAAGAACTGCAGAAGACTGGGTAATTTATAAGGGAAAGAGGTTTAACTGACTCACAGTTCAGCATGGTTGCAGAGGCCTAGGAAACTTACAATCATGGTGGAAGGCGAAGGGGAAGCAAGTCACCTTCTTTACAAGATGGTAGGAAAGAGAATGAATGCAGGAGGAACTATCAAACACTTATAATACCATCAGATGAGAACTCACTCAGTATCATGAGAACATCATAGGGGAAACTGCCCCAAGGATTCAATTATCTCCGTCTGGTCTCTCCGTTGACACGTGGGGATCGTGGAGATTATGGGGATCATAATTCAAGGTGAGATTTTGGGTGGGGACACAGCCAAACCATATCACCAACCATTCTCTTTGTCTGATACTACAGAATTTACCTGGCCTGAGACTTTCAAGGGTAAAACTGGAAAGTCTGCCACAAACCAGAAAGATTTGTTCTATGAAAGTTATCAGAATCAAAATGGGGCCACTTGCATAAAAACCCTGAAAAATGGAGCTAAGGAAGACCAGAAAGGGAGGGTTTATATGCGTGTATGCCTGACAACAGGAACTACGACAAAAGACTGCACAAACCACAACTTTGCACAAAGGCCACCACAATCTCACAAAAAATTACTTCTGTGAGGACATTTGCCCAGCAACTGCCTGTCCAACCTCAAACTGGTGCCACCCTTTCTACCAGTCCTTGTAACCAAGGATAATTGTCTCAAAGCAATTTATGTAACCCTCTTCATTTTTCTTTTAAAATCCCTTGTCTTCTTTTACCTCCCTATGTTCATTGTATTCTCACCAAATAAATATTACTGTTTTTTAGAAGGGTCTCTCCGTGTGTGTGTTACTTAGGTTTAACCAGTCCCCTATACAATGTCTTCAAGACATTTTCAGTAGAGCTAAAATACTTGCTAATGCTTTTGTACTAAAATGTTGTGTGTTTTTTTAATTGATTCATTAATTTTAAAATTTAGATTTTAAATTGATATGTTAAGATTGACCTCAAGGGTAGAGTTGCATTTTAGAGGTTATCATCTGTGATTTTTGGCCCAGGGTGCAGTACTCTGCTGTAGCTAGAACGAATTGTCACCTAGAAAGGAGTAAACCGTCACTCTGATTAGCAAGTGGCCAATGTTTTCATTCAGCAACAAGTGAAAAGGGGTGCAATAAGAGGCAGGGTGTTTCTTGGACTAATACTTCAAAGTTATTACAGTTACAGCCTTTGGGGAAATTCACTGTTCAGATATGGCTGTTTCAAACAGTTAAGTATATGCTATGTTGTCTGAGTTCATCAAATTAGGAATGTCTTAATTGATCAAAGTCAGCTAGGTTATACCAGAGAAATAAAGTCAAAATCTTAATGGCTTATAAACCAAAAAAGATGTATTTCTTGCTAAAACAACCTATCCTTAGAACCCCAACAGAAATTGCCCATTTTTCTGCCGTAACTTATTTATCATAATTCAAGTAGCACAAATAAATAGTTGATGTGCAATTATAATGGGATTGCTCATCCTAATGACTCTTTTTCACAAACATCTATGGAAAATGGCAGTTGGAATTCTGAATGGAAAATATAAGTTGAAATCAATGCTGATCTAGTTTTAAATGATAGGTCTAATAAAATGTAGTCTATTTCATTAAAACCCCAGAGGTAGCTATTTTACTAGGTCTTGATTTAGGAGCAGAGCTTTGGAAAGCATTTCAAGATTATCAAAGATGCTGTAATCTAAGAGTAGAAAAGTGACAACAGCTTCATCGATTTGCAGATAGTAAAAGTAACTCACTAACAAATGAGTGAAGTACTCTATGAAGAACTCTACTGGGCCCATGGAGCTTCTTAGCATTCTTAGGTAATATGTTTTACATCAATCGTTTCCAAATATGAAGATCAGTATTCAGTGATTTGAGATGGCTCTCTAGAATCTAGTTTTTCACAATGATCCCCCAGCAGATTTTGATGTAATTAGTCTGTAAGACGAACATTTTTTTAAAAGATGAAACTTGTATTTCAAATTGGTGTATGGAAACAGAGAATAGTGGAATGTAAATGTAAAGTTATTGGGACTAGTGAAACATTCAATTCAGTATATATTGTAGATTATTTTAACCTATAAGGCTGTGAAGTTATTTTATTACTCTTGGTCTGATGTTCTAATTCCTACACTTGGTTCTGACACTAATTTTTTATGTAATTTTAGGTAAATTATTCATTTTTTAAAAATCAGCTTCTTTTATAAAATGAAGTCAAGTAGATTATTAATAAAGATCCCTAGCCATCCTAAAACCCTATATTTCCTTGAAACTTTCCATTTTATGTAAAGCGATGTGTGCAGCATGTATAGGAGTCAAATGTTTAACATAAACTATTGGTGGCAATTGTTATGAAGAAAAATGGAGAGCATAAATGTCTAGTCTTGTTCTACTCCCTTTAAAAACGGCCCACTATTTCTAGGGTGGGTCAGTAAGCTGCAGAGTATATATAACACGATTTAGCAGGTCAATAGGTCAGGGGCTAATTACTCGTAGATCACATCAACCTCTTGAAGACTGAATCATCTGGAGATGTGTTACAAGTGACTTAAACAGATAAGTACAGCATGGAATCAATAATAAAATGGGAGATGATGGTTAAAGCAAAGCTAAGCATCACATCAGAGTAGAATCCTGACATGATTTTATTCCAGTAATGTAAATATTCCCGTCCCAGCCCTCATTCACCACTACCTCCTCTTATCATTGAGGAAACAGGCAGAGACAGACTGGAAAGGCAGTCAGCTTGATTTAAGAAACTTTCTTAAGTTCAGAAATACTGAATTATTTTTAACCCAGAAAAAGAGCTCAATTGAGAACTCTGAGGTTTGCAACCTTAAATCCCGACTCAATCTGATATATGCCTGCCAAAGGCAACCTGACTGAGGTTACCTGAGAGAAAGTTTTTCTACAAAACATGGCCAACCATGCTCAAGACAAAATTCCAACACATAATTTATCTTCGGCATTCTTCAAATTATTTACCACATCTCCTGCCCCCAACACCTAATCCCAGAATACAGGAATTTGATGATGTCTACACAGCCTATAAAAGTCCACAAATTTAAGTGCCTACTGTGTGAAAGCCATTTGGGGGACTACAAACATAAAGGATGTATAATGCCACCCACTAAGATGTTCACGCTTATGATTTAGTAGGAAAAACAGAAGGCTGCCTTATAAATATTAACAACCTAATTTACAGGCACACCTAAAACATCCCAAATTCTAAAATATATATTTTCTTCCAAATCCTACAGGGTAATATGGCTATGAGAGTGCACTAGGAGTGTCAATTTTACTAAATCCTCTGAGAGCATCCACATTTTGAAAGAGTTCTCTCTTAACCTAAACAAACAAACAAACGAACAAACACTCCTCTCACTGAAGTTCATTCGGCATTGACGGGTCTCTGGTTCTTCAAGTTTTCATCTGAAAGTCTCAGTCTTTGCTATCACAACCAACGCCCCCTTCCTACACTCCAAGGTTGATGGAATGAAATGTCTTGGAATTGAGGGTTTAATTAATTCGGATCACTGGAGAGAAAGAAAAGAAATAACGGGGGAAAAAAATGTGTTAATTTTAGGGCTTGGAATTGGAAACGTGGGGAAACGTCGCCACCTTCTGGTAAGTGATGGAAATGAGCAGGAAAAAAGATCCAAGCTAAGAAGCGGCTTTTTTTTTTTTCCAAAGCAGCAAGCCACGCCCCTCCCGCGCTCGCGAAATCCGAGACCCGCCCTTTCCGGAAGTTTTGACACTGTGCGCCCCGAGTAATGTGATGGAGAGGGTAATCATCCGGTCCGTTATCTAAACCCGTCACTCCAGGAAACAGCGACCCGCTGTTTTCCGGATCCGCGCTCTCCCAGCATCCTTTGCCTTCCGGTATGTGGCCCCGTCTGGCTAGTCCTGTCTAGCGCGCCCATTTCGAGCCCAAGTTTCCAGCTCGGGTTTCCGGGCTCAGAATTTTCCAGGAGTGGGTTCTTGGGCAGTGGCTGTGGGAGCAGGAATGGCGCAGCTAGAGGGTTACTGTTTCTCGGCCGCCTTGAGCTGTACCTTTTTAGTGTCCTGCCTCCTCTTCTCCGCCTTCAGCCGGGCGCTGCGAGAGCCCTACATGGACGAGATCTTCCACCTGCCTCAGGCGCAGCGCTACTGTGAGGGCCATTTCTCCCTTTCCCAGGTGGGGTGCCCAACCTGTCCCCACCCCAGGAGAGGCCTGAAAGGTCCCAGCGTCCCCAGCTCCTTCTCCCATCTTTAGACTTAACTCGTCCCTTTCCACCCCACCCCAGCCTCAGAACATGAAAGAAACTGGGTATAGTCTTTTGTTCCTGTCTCTGAGATCTGTGAAATATTTATTAAATGAATGAATAAACAGCAGATCTGATCCCCAGGGAGGAGTGATCTGGGAGAATACTTAGTGGGGAACTGAGCGCTCCTCTTGGCAGCTGACAATATCGATCCCACTTTGTTTTTCCTTGTCTCAGGATTAAAGGCATTCGGGTGCTCCTTGGAAATATCAGAAAACTTCCCTTTAGCTCACCTGTTAAGCACCTCACTGTGCATTTTAGGGGTGGGATAGGGTGGACTGGAGGGATCTTCGGCTACCAAAAAGTGACAATTTATAATCACAAATTCCTTCCCTGGGTATTTTTAGTGAACTATCTGTTGACTGGATAAACTGGCAACCAGTCAAGTCACATCATTTTTGAATATATATTTGACTGTGCAAGTATGTACATATAAATATCAAAATAAACATCCCCTGCTTTTCTGGTGACACAATATAGGGTACTGGCTAGAAATATAAAGTCTGTTTTAGAGAAAGATCTGATCTTAAATCTTGGTGCTGTGATTTACTAGTTTTGTGATCTTGGAGATGTTCTGAGTTTCAGAAATTCAGGTTACTCATCTGCAAAATGACAATAATCTTTACTATAGGGCATATTGTAATGTTACAATACAGAGGGTTTGGCACAATTTCTGTCTCAGTTTATGTCAGCTGTCATCATGGAGCCTGTGGTCCAAATGTTTTCCTAAACTTAGAGTCCCAAACAATGTTTCCATGCTTTTAAAAACTGGAGCATTTGCAGTTTATTTATCAAAATAAAGGCTTTTAAAGAACATTTCTTGGAAAATAGAAATAGATTTTAAGTTGTTGTTTATTGGTTGCTGCTACCTGAACCATCACTAAGCTGGTCCGGGGGCAAAAAATAAGAAAAACTAATCCTGTTCTGCCAAGGACTTACTTAATCTTGTCATAGACTAACTTCTCAAAATTTCTGATTGTTGCTGGAGATGAGACTTGGGCTTGACATATTTGTGTCTGTCTTGTTCGTATTACCTCTTGCTTTTACTTCATTTTCTTTCATTTTAAAGTGGGATCCCATGATTACTACATTACCTGGCTTGTACCTGGTGTCAGTTGGAGTGGTCAAACCTGCCATTTGGATCTTTGCATGGTCTGAACATGTTGTCTGCTCCATTGGGATGCTCAGATTTGTTAATCTTCTCTTCAGTGTTGGCAACTTCTATTTACTATATTTGCTTTTCCACAAGGTACAACCCAGAAACAAGGTATGTTTCAAAATACTTAATTACAAGTTTATGTGTAGTCAGGTCCACAATTACAATGAATTAGTTTTATGAGATTTGGTGAAAAATGTCTTTAACACTTTGTAACTTTGTATTTTTTGTATATTATGTAAAGGTAAATTTAAATTCTCCATCTCCATTTTAGAATAAATTTGTATTTAAATACTTGAATAACTTATTTGTAAACTCTAAAGTAAATATTTGTTAAGTGAGTCAAACCAGTTCAATAAATACTTACTGAGCTTATTCCATGTGCTGGGGACTGGGACTACAGAGATAAATGAGGCAGTCTTTTTCTTGTAAAACGTATATATTCAGTAGGGAAAACAGACTTTACCTGAGGACTTTTGATGTGGTAATAGTGCAGGCCCCGGAGGTCGATTGCCTGGGTTAGAATTCTCTCCCTGCCACTTAACCAGTTTTGTTACTGTGGGCAGGTTAACCCTTAGTGGCTCCATGTCTTCATCTGTTAAATAAGAATAACAATAGAATCTGCCTTATAGAACTGTTATAAAGGAACAAGGAAACTTAATAAATGGAAGATGCTTCAAATAGTGCCAGATATATAGTAAGGGCTCAGTAAATATTAACTCTAATAATTATTTTTAACCTTAAGAGATTATTTCAGTAGTGTCAATTATGATAGAGTAGTAGACATAAGATGCTATGAGGACACAGAGAAGGAGCAGGGAAACACTTACTGCTTTTCTGGGAGGGAGAGGAGTATGTGGCATTCAGTAAGTCCTCACAGAGAAGATGGTACCAGAGCTGAGTCCTGATGAACGGATAGGGCTGTGTAGGGTGAGGAATTAATCCTGGGGAGACAAACAGCATAAGCAAAGGAAGAAAGGCATTGAACAATGAGGTGCAGGGAATTGGTCTTGGAATTACAGGATTAGAAAGTAGAGGGATGTAAGGCTAGAGAAGTAGGTCATGAATGCCCTCATATGTCACAGAGAGGACTTTGAACTTTAGCATGTAATGGAGAGACCTTAATTTTAATCAAGGAAATGACATGGTCTGATTTAGTGATTTAGATTAAGTGGAGTATACAATTCAAGAACATAAGAACACTTTCAAATTCTGAAATAGCATGTCAGAAAGGCCAAAATAAGATATATAAGTTTAGACTGGCTCACTTTTCAGAAAAATACCGTTATTTCATCATGAAAATATCATCTTGAAAAAGTAAGTCTGGATATGGTAAAATAAATACCATATGCATGTTTACATTCTCCCTTGTGTAGTGTTATGAAGGATTTCCTTAAAGGAAAGTGGTGATTATGGCTAAGTGAATCCTTATTGAAGGCACTAAAACATAAGCTCAGGGAAATGGAGCCAGCATTGTGTCCTATTTATCTCCATAGTCCCCACAGAACTTAGTCGGTATCTTGCACTCAGTAACTCCTTAACTAATCATAGCCTGATTCAAATTGTGTTAAGCTATAGAAGCTTTGGCATACACACGGTCTCCAAACTGATAGGTATAAATAAAAAGTACCAGGAAGTGTTCTTATAAATGTTTATTGTGTTTTTGCAAAGCCAGAGATAAGATTAATATTGATTAATTTTATTTAAATAAGGTTTGAGTAGTTGAGTAGTTTTAAATAAATCTCTTCATTAGGTAAGCAGAAATAGCATTTATCATTAAAATAATTGTATCTGTGTTTTTTCTTCCTCCAAGGCTGCCTCAAGTATCCAGAGAGTCTTGTCAACATTAACACTAGCAGTATTTCCAACACTTTATTTTTTTAACTTCCTTTATTATACAGAAGCAGGATCTATGTTTTTTACTCTTTTTGCATATTTGATGTGTCTTTATGGAAATCATAAAACTTCAGCCTTCCTTGGATTTTGTGGCTTCATGTTTCGGCAAACAAATATCATCTGGGCTGTCTTCTGTGCAGGGAATGTCATTGCACAAAAGTTAACTGAGGCTTGGAAAACTGAGCTACAAAAGAAGGAAGACAGACTTCCACCTATTAAAGGACCATTTGCAGAATTCAGAAAAATTCTTCAGTTTCTTTTGGCTTATTCCATGTCCTTTAAAAACTTGAGTATGCTTTTCTGTTTGACTTGGCCCTACATCCTTCTGGGATTTCTGTTTTGTGCTTTTGTAGTAGTTAATGGTGGAATTGTTATTGGCGATCGGAGTAGTCATGAAGCCTGTCTTCATTTTCCTCAACTATTCTACTTTTTTTCATTTACTCTCTTTTTTTCTTTTCCTCATCTCCTGTCTCCTAGCAAAATTAAGACTTTTCTTTCCTTAGTTTGGAAACATGGAATTCTGTTTTTGGTGGTTACCTTAGTCTCTGTGTTTTTAGTTTGGAAATTCACTTATGCTCATAAATACTTGCTAGCAGACAATAGACATTATACTTTCTATGTGTGGAAAAGAGTTTTTCAAAGATATGCAATTCTGAAATATTTGTTAGTTCCAGCCTATATATTTGCTGGTTGGAGTATAGCTGACTCATTGAAATCAAAGCCAATTTTTTGGAATTTAATGTTTTTCATATGCTTGTTCATTGTTATAGTTCCTCAGAAACTGCTGGAATTTCGTTACTTCATTTTACCTTATGTCATTTATAGGCTTAACATAACTCTGCCTCCCACATCCAGACTTGTTTGTGAACTGAGTTGCTATGCAATTGTTAATTTCATAACTTTTTACATCTTTCTGAACAAGACTTTTCAGTGGCCAAATAGTCAGGACATTCAAAGGTTTATGTGGTAATATCAGTGATATTTTGAACTGTAAAAATGGACTTAATAATTAGACCATTTCTACAAAGAACAACTGAATAGGTGGAAAACATGGAATTTCTTTTAGGTGCAGTGGTGGTCCTCAAATTACATTAGTTTTTTTAATATATATTTTAAACATATGTAAGAAATTAAGTGGCAAAGAACTGGGAAAGCTTAAGACCTGCTTCAAAAGCCTGAATAATGGGAAAATAAAATTGTTTTCAGATATCTCATATCGCTCTCGTAATGTTGGCCCCTCACAAAGCTTGGGAATGTTTTGTATGTATAAGTTTATTAAAACTGGGTATGCTTCATATTACTAGAACTAATTTATTCTCTTCAGAGAGAACTATTAGGTTAGTGCAAAAGTAATTGTGGTTTTTGCCATTGAAAGTAATGGCAAAACCACAATTACTTTTGTACCAACCTAATAACAATGTGTTAGCAAATATTTACAAATGGTCAGGTGATATTCTTGACTGAAAAGTTCCTTAACATTTCAGTAAATATAATTTTAATTCTAAGTCAAAATAGAAATGCATAGATAGTAAATGATAAAGTAGAGACTCATATATGTCTGTCTAGGCATCAAATTGTTGGTTATTGTTTACAATCCAGAAATGATGAAGCTCTTTCACTAATTCCTAATATGAAATGTATGATGGCCAAAGACAAATTGTGTTGATTATAATCCTTTAAAAGGGGGATTTCCTTTATGAAATACATATTGTATTAGCTTCCCAGGGCTGCCATAACAAATGACCACAAACTTGGGTGCTTACAACAATTTTCCTCACAGTCTGGAGGCCAGAAGTCTAAAATCAAAGTGTCAGCAGAGTTGGTTCCTTCTGGAGGCTCTAAGGAAGAATCCATTCTATGTCTGTTTCCTAATATCTTGTGGCTGTCTGCAATTCTTGGAGTTCTTTGGCTTATGGGCATATCTTGTCTAAGTATTGCAGACAGCAATCTTCACTCCAGTCTCTGCCTCTGCGTTCACACGGCCTTTCCCTCTGTCTTTTCATTACCTTTTAAGGACAGTGTCTTTGAATGTAGGGCCCACCCTGATCTAGGGTGATTGTGTCTGGAGACCCTTAATTATGTTTACAAAGACCCATGTTCCAAGTAAGTTTGTATTCACATGTTCTGAGTAGACATTGTCTCTTCATGGGATACTTTTCAGTCCATGACAGTTACTAAAGGACATTTTAGGATAATCCTCATATGATTGTTAGGAGACTACCTTTAAAAATTTTTTATTATATATCAAATTATAGTTGTATATACTTATGAGGTACGAAGTGGCATTATGATTTTTGAATATAATGTGGGATGATTAAATAAAGCTAATCTATCCATCACCTCAAATATTTGACATATTTTGTGATGAAAACATTTGAAATGTACTCTCAACAGTATTGAAATGTACATACAGTGCTTAATTATTAGCTGTATTCACCATGTTGTGTAATAGATCTAAAAAAAGTCAAACATATTCCTTCTATCTAATTGAGGCTTTGTATCTTTTGATTGTCATCTCCCTATTCCCACATCCCCGGCCTCTAGCAACCATCATTCTTCTCTCTACTTCTGTGAGTTTAATTGTTTTAGATTACACAAATAAGTGAGATCATGTGGTATTTGTCTTTCTGTGCTTGGCTTATTTCACTTACCATAATGTCCTCCACGATCATCCATATTGTTGCAAATGACACAATTTCTTCCTTTTTAAAGGCTGAATAGTATTTTTTTGTATATATATGCCACATTTTCTTTATCCATTCATCCATGGATGGACACTTAGGTTGATCGAATCACTTGGTTATTGTGACTTGTCTGCAATGAACATAGAGTGCAGACTTCTCTTTGACATACGGATTTCAAATCTTCTGGATAAATAGCCAGAAGTGGGATTGTTGGATCAGGAGATAATATCTTAGCTGATACCTTTTAAATAACTCTCAGTATCTTTACTGAGAGGTTAAAAAATAAGTGACTTCTTAGGTAATATAAAGCTAAAGGTGACTAGTGTTTGATTCCATTATCTATTAAAAAAAGTCAGAATTGAAAGAAAGTTGAGAAATCCTTTGGTCTGACTTTGTAGATTAGGGAACAACTGCTGGGGTAGGATTATTTTGTGTTACTTTTTGAATTTTGTGTTTATTATTTTGAGTGTATTTTTTGGGTTGTCATTCCATTACAGGAAAGTATTATTTGGGCATGTTAACTTTGACATGTAAACTTAGAATTGTGAATAGAACTCATCTTTTAACATAATTTTATGTTTCTAAACTTTAAAAGTAGCTATAAGTGAACAAATTACTTTCCCCTCAATGTCAAATTTTGCTTCTCTGAGTTTTAAGTGATGAGTCTACATTTACAAATATAAAATTGTGTGCAGGTGAAAATTACAAGTATAATTTGAGTAATAAATGCAGGCCATTTTTTGGTTGTACTCTAGTACTCAGAAAATAGATCGGCATTAGTTATAACAGTGATTGTAGAAAAACGTGTTTTACCCAGACTTCTTAAAAATTAGATGAGAGAGGACACTCAAAGAAATTATACTTTTGTCATTAATTTACTATAGTGGAGAACTAAATCTGGGAAGTCAAAATTGAAAAAAGAATGTGTAATTTAGGGAAAGTAACTTTTTGTCTGATAATATTAATGCAAGGATTTTGTATTTAGGAATACTTCTGAGAGGAGAAGCTTCCACTCTGATCTAGTCTGGCAAAATTGAGGAAAATATTCTACCCTGTAATTAAAGAAGACTGCTCTTTGGAGGGATCACTGTTCTATATCTTTTTTTGTTTGTTTTTGTCTTTGAGGAGAAGTCTCGCTCTTGTCCCCCAGGCTGGAATGCAATGGCGCGATCTTGGCTCACTGAAACCTCCACCTCCTGGGTTCAAGCAGTTCTCCTGCCTCAGCCTCCCGAGTAGCTGAGATTATAGGCGCCCACCACCAAGCCTGGCTAATTTTTTCTATTTTTAGTAGAGCCGGGGTTTCACCGTGTTAGCCAGGCTGGTCTCGAACTCCTGACCTCAGGTAATCCACCTGCCTCGCCTCCCAAAGTGCTGGGATTACAGGCGTGAGCCACTGTGCCCAGCTCTTCTAGTTCATTTTTAAGTGTTGAGTCCCTGCTGTTTAAGAGATGTTTTGGTGAAAATCTACATTCAGAGAGAAACAGGTTAATCTTCCACATTTTTTATAAAATACATAAAATATAGTACTTGGCATTTTAAGAAAAGAATGCCATGTATTAAAAGGTGCTATTTTCAACTATTTATTATTTTAAAACAGGAATGCTTATCAATACTTTCGAATTTAAGATAAATGTCTTCGTTAAATTTTCTAGGCAGTTCAAAGATGGCCATTTGCTGGTGAATTTTCCAAAATAGATAACAGATAAAATGATTATGTAAGAACTTGGCACAACAGATCATTTTGCCTTTAGTCGTTCAAGAAATGATACTAAACTCAAAGTCATTCACTTGAAACAACTGAGAAGACCATTCTTAGGTGTTTAGATCCTTGCTTTTAGAAACATTCTTAGTTATATTTGTGTTTTCAAAAGTTATTGAGTAGATAGATATTTTTTCATGAATTTTTAAACATTAGACTTAGCTGAATTGATTAAAATTAGGTGATTATGAAAAAAATATTGCCCTGCTCGAGGGCATCTGGAGCCCTACAGTTACCATTACTAAAGTCTGTGAGTATGTCTATTTTGAAAAGTGTCATAAAAATATCTAGTCCATAAATCATTATAGGTTCAGTAATACATCATTTTGAACTGATTCTATCTTCTGTGAAATTCTAGAGATATGTTATCTTTAGGTAGCATGAGTAAGATTCAGGTATGCTGTGAATTTTGTTAACGTTTATGTTTTCCATTAATGGATAGTCAGGAATCTTTTGAACTGCGTCTATGTATTTAAATGATTTGGAAAGATAGCATCTCTCAGTTTAAACTTAGCATCTCATTTTGGCAAGATAAATTATTTTAGCTGTCTGGCCTTTTCTTTGTCTTCTTAGAGTTATTTCTGAAATGTGCATAGCCAGTCATAAAATAACTTGTGTAAATAGCCTAATGTAATTTATTTCTAATAAATACGTAGCTTAATGAAATGTATTTCTAGTTTGAACTTAATTGCCACTTGGCTTGATATTATTTTCCTTAGAATTGTTGGAAGAGAGGAGAGAGGAAGGGATCTACCATTTTTATTTATACCACCTAAATAGTGGACTGTTATTTTGGACTCACTTTTAAATAAAATATTTATTCACATGAAGAAATAAATTTTGTGTTTATTAGGTTAGCAAGCGTTTATTATCTTTGAAGTAATTGGAATTTCATTAAAAAGTGAAGCAAGTAAGAATTGTGATATAAATTTGAAAATTTTTAAATGGAAATTGAAATATGACTTAGGAACTGTGGGCTTGTAGAAAAAAACATTTAACATGGGAGTTAAGATTTTTATATTTGGTTGTGGCTCT
This sequence comes from Homo sapiens, assembly GCF_000001405.40. Taxonomy (NCBI): domain Eukaryota; kingdom Metazoa; phylum Chordata; class Mammalia; order Primates; family Hominidae; genus Homo; species Homo sapiens. The sequence continues at coordinate 38,325,722 of NC_000012.12, forward strand.
GGGATCAATAAGGCAAGTGGTTTAGTCTTTAGTCCTCATTTCAAATGAGAATAGTATTTGTCCTAACTCTAGTCAGTGTCTGATTGGTATGTGTATAACCTTATTTTAAAAAGGATTCATTCCTGCCATATACTCATAATATTTATAAGTATGTCATATGATAAATATTGAGTAAATATATACTGAATGAAGTTTTTAGTATAGAGTGAAGTGAATAGAAAAAACATCCTACATAACCGTGGCTAATTTTAGGAAGTAAATCATGTTTCATAATAAGAGTCATCCTAAACATTTTTCTGTGTAATTTTCTGACCCAGTGTTAACAATTTTTATTTGCCTTAGTGCAAGCTTGTTCAACCCACAGGCCACATGCAGCCCAGGATGGCTTTGAATGCGGCCCCAACACAAATTTTGTAAGCTTTCTTAAAACATGATGAGATATTTTGTGATTTTATTTTATTTTATTTTATTTATTATTTTATTTTATTTTATTTTATTTTTTAGCTCATCAGCTATCATTAGTGTTCGTGTATTTTATGTGTGGCCCAAGATGGTTCTTCCAGTGTGGCCCAGGGAAGCCAAAAGATTGGAGACCCCTGCTAGCATTTAATGCTTATACATGTATTTACTTGTAAACATGTTGTTTCTTTGATAGGATATGATTTCAACATAATTACTGTTTATTTAAAATAAGAAAAACAAATAACTTTCAACCATTAAAAGGTTATAACACTTTAAAGGAAAGTTTCTTATTAAAGAAACTTTATACCCTATTAAGGGTATAATTTCAAAATAATTGCTTTTTATTTAAAATAAGAAAATATTCTTATTTCTATTTAAAATAAGAAAAATCAGTAACCTTCAACGAATAACAGGTTAAAGAATTTAAAGGTAAAAGACATTTCAACTAATTACAAATACTTTGTTTTTTTTAGTTGGGCTACATTTTACCACTCTAGGAATAGCTGTTAATTATTTTTTATATAGGGCATTTTTATGTATTTAATGTTGACAACTGACGTTTCCAATATACAAAAACTTGTGTAACTGAGAAAATTATAATAAAAATAGAGATTGAGGACATATTTTTAACATATATCCATGAGTCAACACTAATATTTAATATTTGAGATTTGAAAAATTATTTCTAGGGTAAGAAATTCTGTCACAATATAATATCTCTATATTGTGCTTTTTTAAGAGATAAATTTTTGATGAATTTAATGTTAATTAAATTTTATCTCAGCCTATCACCATCAGACCAAAAGACAATACAGTATTTTTCTAACAAGGAAAAGAAAATACATATATATATATTTATATATACAAATATATACGTATTTATATATACAAATTTGTATATATGTAATGTATGTGTGTGTGTATACATATAATTTCTCCTTTTTTTTTTTTGTAAGAATTGAGACAGGGTGTCACTATGTTGTGTGGGCTGGTCTCAAAACACCTGCCTCAAGTGATCCTCCCACCTTGGCCTCCCAAAGTGCTAGGATTTACAATGAGCCACTGTGCCAGCTTCCAACAAGAAAAATATTAAATGTATTGGTTTTTCACAGTGAAACTTAATTCAGTTTAGTTGAACCATATATGTGTGTGTATGGCATATATAAGATGAAAAAAGGAGAAAAAGTAACAATAATAATGATGGTTGCCATCATTCATTGAACACCTATAATGTTTTAGGCATTATACTAGCTGATTTACAAATATTGTCTCATTTGATGCTACATTTATATTTCTATGAGGCAGATGTTGATTTCTCTTTGACTGCTGAAGAAACTGAAGGTCGGTCAGGTCAGGTGATTTGCCCAAAGTCCACACTGTCACTAAATGAACATAGATTGGTATGACTCCCAAGCCTGTGAGTTTTTGACCGTCATATTCTGCCTCACTATGAAAAGTTTTTTTTCAATTTTTTTTAAATCAAAAGAAGTAGTATATGGAGAGAGAGGTGAAAATCCATGTTTGCTCTCTGCAGTTTCCAAACCATTCATGACGTGTTATTTTTGTACTGGATATAGTCATTTTTTAAAATGCTACAAACTGTTCAAAAGAGCATGAACAACATGATAACTCCTTATAATTTTGTTGTAAGATAAATGACTAAAATTATGTGGGATATTTAATTTGGATAAGTGGAAATTCTATCACTTGATAAGCTCTCTTGAAGAATAATTATTTGAAAGATTGGACTTAATTCTGTATTGCCTGAAGTGTAAATCAGAGGTCAACAATTAGATTGCAAATCATGAAAAGCATAACTTCTAATTGTTTAGTCTTTTTAGGGAAACAAGCCCAGAAAAAAAGTAAGATTCTCATTCATTGGAGATAAGATTTCTATTTATCAAAGATACTACACAAGAGTTAGATAGCAAGTAGTTCAAATGTCTTTTAAAGGTATCTGACATCTTTAAAGCTCTGTAATTTTTAAATTCTAAATTTTGTTACAGCTAATTTTTAAAAATTAATTGCTAAGTCATGGTCAAGTATTTCTGATGACTTACATGCTGTCTTTGGTATATTTTAAGTTTCTAAACCAAAACTACTATTTGACTCTATTACACCCTGTTTTAGAAAAACATTTGAGTTATACAACTTACTAAAATGTATTTTAGCGGTGATGTTTTGGAGCACTGGTAATATAGTGTTTAACTTATTTTCTATTTTTTATCCCTCTATATTCGTGAAATTACTTCTATTTGAAAAGTTTTCCGCCAGTGATAAAAAAAGGCTGAGCACTATCTGTAAAAATTTTTAAGGTGTCCACTAGGTGGAGATATTGTGCTACATTTCCAAGTGTTGTAGTTAAACTTTTATTAGTCTGAATTAAACTCTTTTATAGTGTTTTATTGTTTTAAACCACAAAGATTTATAATCATTTATATCTATTTATCTAATGTTATTCAAATGTTTTCTGCGTTGTATGAAGCTAAGATAAATGTAAAAAAAACAAACAAAAAAAACCTCACTTTGTGTTTTGTAATCATTAGACGATTTAACCTAATATATCTTCCCATATGATATGATCTTTGCATATGGCATACTTCATTCATATGACATAGTTAGAATCTTTTCCCACAAACAATGAGTGATGATATCTCATTTGAAAACTCGTGTAACATTGTATCAGCCACTGTTATAAAGTGATTTACCCATGTTAGTCTCATAACAACTCTATGAGATCAGTACCGTACACATGGGGAAACTTAGTATAGAGAGGTGAAGTATTTTTTCCAAGATTACAAAATAACTGTCTGAGCTGGGATTCGTAACCAGGCAGCCTGACTCCAAAATCAATATTCTTAACTCTATTGTTATGATGGAGAAAGGCATGAAGTCTACCTTCAAATTCATGGCATTTTAGAAGGAAAAATTGTCGCAAGTAATGTGATTATACTTCCTAGTTTTATAGGTCAGAAAAATGAGGTCCACACTAATTTTGCCTCTTCCACAGGGAGATAGATTCTCATCTACCATTGTGTCTTTTGTTTCTGTTTTTGTCATGATACCTCAAATTGATATATGTTGTAATTATGAATTTAAGGAAGTAAAAAAATAACTCAGGGCTGGAGCCTTCAGCCATATTAACATACATTGACATAAAGACCTTTGTTTTAATATGAATGATTCCAGTTAACAAATGGAGAAATAGTTGTTTGAAAATTAATATTTAGCTTCTCAAAAGAGACTCCTGTTTGGAAGCAAATTGTTGGTTTAACAGGACATACTTTAGATATTTGAAAAATTCTCTGTGGAATCACAATCTCTTATTTTTAAGAATGTAGGAATATGTGTTCTATATGCTTTTAAGTTATGTATTACATACTATTCTCTAAAATAGAAATGTTTATTTGGCTTCTAAAAGTCATTTGTGAGTTGATGTTATTTAAAACTGCTTTTCAGTCAACTTATTCTTTATAAAAAAGTTTGTTCAAATAGCATGTTTTTATTTTGTTTCTAAATAAATTCATGTTTGATAATATTTTATAATGTGTTGTGTCTATTTTTTTTTTTTTTTTATTGATCATTCTTGGGTGTTTCTCGCAGAGGGGGATTTGGCAGGGTCATAGGACAATAGTGGAGGGAAGGTCAGCAGATAAACAAGTGAACACAGGTCTCTGGTTTTCCTAGGCAGAGGACCCTGGGGCCTTCCGCAGTGTTTGTGTCCTTGGGTACTTGAGATTAGGGAGTGGTGATGAGTCTTAAGGAGCATGCTGCCTTCAAGCATCTGTTTAACAAAGCACATCTTGCACCGCCCTTAATCCATTTAACCCTGAGTGGACACAGCACATGTTTCAGAGAGCACCGGGTTGGGGGTAAGGTCATAGATCAACAGCATCCCAAGGCAGAAGAATTTTTCTTAGTACAGAACAAAATGGAGTCCCCTATGTCTACTTCTTTCTACACAGACACAGCAACAATCTGATTTCTCTATCTTTTCCCCACATTTCCCCCTTTTCTATTCGACAAAACCGCCATCGTCATCATGGCCCGTTCTCAATGAGCTGTTGGGTACACCTCCCAGACTGGGTGGCGGCCGGGCAGAGGGGCTCCTCACTTCCCAGAAGGGGTGGCCGGGCAGAGGCACCCCCCCACCTCCCAGACGGGGCGGCTGGCCGGGCGGGGGCTGCCCCCCACCTCCCTCCCGGACGGGGTGGCTGGCCGGCTGGGGGCTGACCCCCCACCTCCCTCCCGGACGGGGCGGCTGGCCGGGCAGGGGCTGACCCCCCCCACCTCCCGGATGGGGTGGCTGCTGGGCGGAGATGCTCCTCACTTCCCGGACGGGGCGGCTGCCGAGCGGAGGGGCTCCTCAGTTCTCAAAGGGGGCGGCTGCCGGGTGGAGGGGCTCCTCTCAGACGGGGCAGCCGGCCAGAGACGCTCCTCACCTCCCAGACGGGGTCGCGCTGGGCAGAGGCGCTCCTCACTTCCCAGACGGGGCGGCGGGGAAGAGGCGCTCCCCACATCTCAGACAATGGGCGGCCGGGCAGATATGCTCCTCACTTCCTAGACGGGATGGTGGCCGGGAAGAGGCGCTCCTCACTTCCCAGACTGGGCAGCCGGGCAGAGGGGCTCCTCACATCCCAGACGATGGGTGGCCAGGCAGAGATGCTCCTCACTTCCCAGACAGGGTGGCGGCCGGGCAGAGGCTGCAATCTCGGTACTTTGGGAGACCAAGGCAGGCGGCTGGGAGGTGGAGGTTGTAGCGAGCCGAGATCACGCCACTGCACTCCAGCCTGGGCAACATTGAGCACTGAGTGAATGAGACTTCATCTGCAATCCCGGCACCTCGGGAGGCCGAGGCTGGCAGATCACTCCCGGATAGGAGCTGGAGACCAGCCCGGCCAACACAGCGAAACCCTGTCTCCACCAAAAAAATACGAAAACCAATCAGGCGTGGCGGCGCGCGCCTGCAATCGCAGGCACTCGGAAGGTTGAGGCAGGAGAATCGGGCAGGGAGGTTGCAGTGAGCAGAGATGGCAGCAGTACAGTCCAGCTTCGGCTGGGCATCAGAGGGAGACCATTGAAAGAGGGAGAGAGAGAGGGAGACCGTGGGGAGAGGGAGAGGGAGAGGGAGTTGTGTCTATTTAACACATTTTCTTATCCTAAACCAAGTATTAGAAGCTTTGTATTTCCCTCACACTGTCCTGTTAGCCATTTTCCCCTGTCTACCACCTCCCTAATGCTAAGCTTTATTAGTCATTTTAAAATAGAACCAAATCTTTTTAAATACCTGTGATGTGTGCTCATAACTAGCCTGGGTGTCTGTATAATCTTCCTTTTATTCTCATAATAATAGAAAGCAGTTAAATTACTGGCTGATCACCTTGAACTTGTTGGGGCTTGGGTTTCTTTTTTAGGCTAGGTCTGTAGGAAGCTCAGAGTATTTACCAAACACATCTAACTTGGCAGGGTTCAAGCCCCAGTCTTTGGGTCTTGTGGTGAAAAAAAAGAAAGTGGTCCCTACTCTGTGTTTGCAGACTTCCACCTCTTACTTTCCATTGGGTGTCTTCGAGTTTCTCTTATCATATGCAGCTCAGAGGTCAGCCCAGGACTTATACACAGATTTTGGGATTCCCTTCTTCTGTGACTCCCTCTTTTCTGAGATTTCTCCTAATTACAGCTACTCTAGCAGTCCTGAGTTCCATCCTTTCACACCTCAAACCAATCATACTGCACCTTTCTAACTAGGGTGTGCCCTCTGGGGGAAAAGCCATATAAACATGGATCTCACCCAGTGAGATCTTTCAACTGAGTCCATCCAGTTCCTGCCTTCTTTTGTTTACTCTTCAATGTTTCCAAAAAGATTTTTTCCCTTTTTAAATGAGTCAATCTACTGGAAAGCTAATATAATAAAAGCTCCTCTACCATGACCTGCCTAAGAACCTTGTCTTGATTGTAGTTAACATGTGTTATGTGTAGTCTTTCTGTTTATTAGATAAGGAAGTTGTGGGTGTTATTTTTGGTTTTGTGAAACTAAAAGGGAGAATTCCTGAAAATAGTTTAGGTGGCAACAGTAAGTTTTTGGAATATGGACTTCTGTATTAGCCCATTCTCATGCTGCCAATAAAGACATACCCGAGATTGGGTAATTTATAAAGGAAAGAGGTTTGATCAACTCACAGTTCCACATGGCTGCAGAGGCCTCACAATCATGGCAGAAGGTGAAGGAGGAGCAAAGTCACATTTTACATGGTGGCAGGCAAAGAGAATGCTTACACAGGACAACTCCCATTTATAAAACAATTGGCTCTCGTGAGACTTACTCACTACTAGGAGTGAGTATGGGAAAGACCTGCCCCCATGATTTAGTTACCTCCCCCTGGGTCCCTCCCATGACACCTGGGAATTATGGGAGCTAAAATTCAAGATGAGATTTGGTTGAGGACACAGCCAAACCATATCACCTTCTAATATGGTCCTCTAACAAAGTTTATCGTAGTATTTGTTATTAAATGCAATGACAACTTGAGGGAACCTTGTGTGAAAAAAACGGTATCAAGAAACGCAAAAGTGACCTACTCTAGACAAGATGAACTCGCCTAATGGGGGCTAACTAATGCAAAGTACAATATGATTATCACTGAGGAGGAATATAAGAGCTAGGGTGTTTACATGAGAATAGAAATCACATCTGACTGAAGGGACAAAGACATACTTCATGGAGAAATTCACACTGGAGATTATTTGTATGGAAACCTGTGGAGACACTGCAGAAAGCATTTCAGGCAGAATAATGTGATGCAAACCATATGGCTGAGAAGCAGGTGGTGACAGTGGCCAACACTTATGCAGTGCTATGTGACAGGCACCAGTCTAAATATTGAACATGAATTTATTTAAGCCTCATAGAGATGCCCTAAGGCAAATGCTATTATGATCCCCATTTTTACTGACAAGGAAAATAAGTCATAGGGAATTGAAATAGTTTACAAACAGGAAATGCGGCTCCAGAACATGCCCTCTTAACCAGGGCGCTATACTGATTCCTGCTAAACTTGCATCATCTGATGGCCTGTGCATCCAAAGAACTGAGGTTATTTTTAGGAAGAAAGTAAGAACAGTGCTCTGCTGTATACAGTGAGGAGCAAGGAAAGCATATGTCCCACGCAGAGACCCACAGATAAATTGGTGTGGAGAGAAACATAGTTATTTAGATTCGATAGCCAGGTTTCAGTTCGCACCAGTAGAATGGCTCTGTGAGACAGGCCCTCCACTCTCCTGTAGATCCTGTTGTAAGTGATGCAGAAGCCAGAGAGAAGGTTGCTCTCCATCAGAAACATGAGGAGTTTTGGAGACCTCCCTAAAATATTTGATCTGAAAGGGTTTGAAGCCAGGAGGAGAGATGCAGTCTTAGGAGAAACGTTTCATGACCTGTAACAGGTACCCTATCAGTCTTTCTCAGTAAGTACTATTCTTTGTAATTTTTATATTTTCCTTGCAACCCTATCACTCTCTAAAGGTCTAGTGAAAAAATCAAATTTAGATGAAACCTAGCTTGACCTAGAATCTTCACTCTGTATGTGTGTGTGTGTGTGTGTGTGTGTGTGTGTGTGTGTGTTTAATGTATACATTGGGTCTTTGGGCCAAATACATTGTAAGGTTTCAGAGGTATAAACAGGCCCTGGGCTGTGGAGAACCATGGGAGGGGATGATCTTGATCTAAGTCAGTAGTTTTTACTTAGCCACATCTAGAAATCTATGTCTTGGTCATAAATTTTGTTCTTTGAAATGCAGGGAAATGTATCATAAAATGCAGGAAATGCAAGGAAAAGTAACACATTAAAGCTAATTGGTTATTAATATTATAAAAGCATATGAGAATGTCTTATTCTATTCCCTCCAGCTCTCCAACCATATCCCCCACACATACCCACACACTGCCTGCCCACACATAAGCACAAGTATTTCTGGGGATCATGAGCATGAGAACTTTAGGGGTATTGCTAGGAAAAGAAGGAAGAGAGTAAGTAGGAAGACTGAAGACAGAGAAAGGAACCACCAGAAAGAGTAGAAAAAAAGAGAGAAATCCTTTCTTCACATACCAATGACTCTAAGAATACCTTTCTCCATTAAAATAATATCCAAGAGGCACATTGGAATGAAATACATGTGGAATACTGATATGAAAAGACAGAAGAATATAATAGGATCTGAGTTGAAAGACCATGCTTATCTCTTCACTTGTACTATAAAAATTTACAGTGATGTCCTTTAGTTGGGGTAACTGTGATGAGCAACATTGAAACCCTTTATGCCAATTTTGTTTTCAAAATGCATTGTCTTAAATTTTCTCTCAAGGTGGCACTCCTGGACATCTTTTCCAGTTATTAGTCTGACAGGAACTTGGTACCATTTTACTTACCTTCATAATGTCACAGATGCTAGTCAATTTTTCATTTTTTTTTAAAAAATGCATTCTTTGAACATTTTTAGCTTTAAGCAAATATATTTGCTTATTTTTGTCATTGAGCATTTTGAAAACATGTGGTTAGAAGCTTGAAGCAGATAATCATAGCTGCATTCTATTCCCCGTAATTAAGAATATGTAAGGCCTGGCACAGTGGCTCACGCCCGTAATCCCAGCACTTTGGGAGGCCGAGGCAGGTGGATCACCTGAGATCAGGAGTTCGAGATCAGCCTGATCAACATGGAGAAACCCTGTCTCTACTAAAAATATAAAATTAGCCGGGCGTGGTGGCGCATGCCTGTAATCACAGATACTCTGGAGCCTGAGACAGGAGAATCGCTTGAACCCGGGAGGCGGAGGTTGCGGTGAGCTGAGATCGTGCCATTGCACTCCAGCCTGGGCAACAAAGCAAGACTCCATCTTAAAAAAAAAAATAGAGAATATGTAGGGCCGGGCGCGGTGGCTCATGCCTGTAATCCCAGCACTTTGGGAGGCCGAGGCAGGCGGATCACGAGGTCAGGAGATCGAGACCATCCTGGCTAACACTGTGAAACTTTGTCTCTACTAAAAATACAAAAAATTAGCTGGGTGGGGGGGGTGGGTGGCGGGCTCCTGTAGTCCCAACTACTTGGGAGACTGAGGCAGGAGAATGGCGTGAACCCAGGAGGCGGAGCTTGCAGTGAGCCAAGATCGCGCCACTGCACTCCAGCCTGGGGGACAGAGCGAGACTCCGTCTCAAAAAAAAAGAATGTGTAGAAACCTTGATATTTTCTTTCTTTCCAATTGGAATACAAGTCAAACCTGGAATTTATAAATAGTTTTAATAAATGTGGAATTTGTTGTATATATATAGTAATATAGAGAGAGTAATAAAAATATAGTAATGTATATATAGTAATAAAAGGCTTCCAAAAGCTTCTGTATGGGAAATTCTTGTTTCCATTAATCAGGCCATTAGAAAAGCACCCTGCCATTCTCTGATAGCTGTGCTATAGAGTAGGTTGCTTGATAAAGAATGAAAGCAAAGTGATTCTATTTGTTATGTAATGTGAGTGACATGGAAGGTAAATTTTTTTAAATAGTCATGGATTTTAGCTTTCTGAAAGGAATGCAATTTGGAAGTTTCTCCAAATCTCCAAATGGTTTTGAGTTACATATAATGCAACCTGACACCTAGCTTGATATTTGAATTCTGTGTAGCTAGAAAGTTGATAGACTATGGATCTTTTCTGTTTTATAATGTTTGGTATTATACTGGACCTTTCCTTGTGTTAATTTTTTCTCTTTATTAACATATGAAAAATTCTGTGAACTATTGATCATCCAATGAGATTTTCTCAGTCTCAAAAGACAAATAATGCAATTTGGAAAACTGTAAATTTGTTTGCATGTAATCTGAATCTCTAGGTATACTCTAATTTTTTTTTCAGTAAATTCTGAGTTAAATGTTTATCATTACAATGCCAGAGGATTAACTTAATTTTTCTATCTTCCAAATCCAGTTTTCCTCCATCAGGAACAAATTTTCATCAAACTGAAATAATGGTGTAGTTTTTGGAAGAAAACTGCTTATTATGAGAAATAATTAGCAGGCATCTAAGAAAAAAATTCTAATTGAATTTGGCGTTCATATTTTTTAAGGGTTTTGTAATTTAGGCTTAATATTTGATAAGGGTAAATTAACCAAGATCAAAACCTTTAAAATATTCGAATTGATAACTATTTTGTAATTATTGAAATAACTTTTCTCTAATAAATAAAGGAGAAATACATTGAACAAAATAAAAACCAACCAACTTTCTGCTACACACTAAATTTTGATAGACTGTCTTTGTCTAAAACAGTAAGGCAGCTATAAATACAGAACACTTGAGCTAGAGTCAGAATACCTGGATTCAAGTCCTGGCTCTGCCATTAACATGCTGTGTGAACCTAGGAAGGTGAACCTATTAGATCAAATGAGAAAGGAAAATACATACAAAAATTATTAAATGGCTGTTAATTGCACACAGTATAAGGGTCATGCATGATTTATTTAATATGACTGAGGCAATACACCAAATAGTTTTATTAACTTTTATCATAATTTTTGTATGATGTTAAATAGTGTTAGATAATTGAGTCATTCTTTGTTGCTATCTTCAGGAATGTTTTAAAATGGCTTTTTACATCATTTAAAATGTCAGTTCCTTCTTTAAGTTGAAAAGACACAGATTTTGGTCACTTTTTTGTATACTTGCTAATTATTACAGTTAATGACCTTGTCTTCCCAAAACAGTGATGTTCTAAAATGTTCTAAATGTTCCATTTGATGTTCTAAAATAAATGTTACATTTGGTACATTATTTAGAATTACATTAGTTGGGCATTTTACCAATGCAAGGAAGAAATAAGGAAAGTCGTTGAGAGTAGAGAAACATGAGTTAGGAGAGGATATTTTGCTTCCATCTACATAGTCTCTCCCTGGTGGGCCCCAGAACTTTAACATTGGAATGTATAGCAAAGCCTCATCAAGAAGTGAGACTTGGGATAAAAGTTGAGTTCAAAATATCTACCTTCTTTTTCATCTTCTGTCTCCTTCAGCACACTGAAACCCACAGAGATAGATTCTAATTGGTCTACTCTGGTTCCCACTCACAACACACACAATAGGCTTCCATCTGAGCCATACTAGGACTCACTCAATATCACCTATGAATATTTTCCTTTGACTCAGATGCCATCCATGGTCCTTAGTTATGGCCAGCATAGCAGAATAGGTTACATTAAAAATGTAATTCTCATGTTGCTTCAGCTTTATTTAGAAACAGTTCTAGCTGCTCTCATGATAAGGAGGTATGAACAAGAAAAATATCCATTGATACAGCCAATATAGCAATATGCCATTTTTATAACAACCGGAAACATTTTAATGTAATAAATACAAGTATATATGTGTGGTTTTATTTTCCCTATTTTTTCTTATGGCTCCCATAAAAATATAATAACTGGGCCAATCAATGATTATTTGCCAAGTTCCTGAAGCTCTTCATTTGCAGTTTGCTGTAGCAGTATGCATAACAATATGCAATGAAAAGGTAAGATATAAAGGGATATATAATGTCAGGAAGCTTTTCATGACGTTGCTCTCCTCCTCATAACTGAATATGTTTTTCTGTACTTATAGCCATCATCACACCATTCAAGTTGCTAACTTACTTATCTGTATTTCTTACTAGACTATAAGCTTCATGAATCCAAAGACTGTGTCTGTCACATTCACAAATAGCCAGCATATAAACATAGCAAATGTTCAAGAAAGAGCTTTTGACTGACTTAATGAATATGAATAACTAGATGCCCAAGGAGACCAAACTAGAATAATTTTATATTATTTAAATACAAAACTCTGGTTAAATTTAAGTCTACTAAATTTTAGTCTAGCAACACTCTATGGAGTACTTATTTTCTATTCTTTTATCTAAAATGCAACTACCTTAATGCTCAAAGGCCAATATATTTTTCCACTAGAATGCCTTCCTAAAAGAAAAATAGCTGGGAGGCTGTGGATTAGAAGAGAGTCAGGATTTAGATCAACCAATCAATGTATAGACTTTCTTTTCTTATTTCTTTTTTTTATTTTTTTTATTTTTGAGACGGAGTCTCGCTCTGTCTCCCAGGCTGGAGTGCTGTGGCGCAATCTTGGCTCACCAATGTGTAGACTTTCTATGGTCACTAACATGACCAAACCATATCAATTTATTCAATTTTTGCAATATTTCATTATTAATACTTTGTATTATTAATGCTTTTTTGCAATTATTTATTTGTATTAATATACTTAATATTTGTATTAATGATTTTAATATGTAATATATTATATTCCTTTTATATAAATATGCAGAATATTTATTTAGAAATTTATATATATTTATTATTTAGAAACATTTAACATTTAAAAATAAGTAATGTCCTAAATAACGTAATGTTCTAAATAAACATTTCTTAGAAATATATTTGTGTGCGCATGCCCATGTGTGTACGTGTGTGTGTTTATGCCAGCTGTAAAAGGAAAATTCTCTACTTTGTATTTTTGATAATTAGAATTATGGTGGTGGTGATTTGCTTTGATATAAAACATTTGACAAACATCACCAGTGAATGTCTGTCTGATGCTATTTAAAATTAAAATATTATCACATATTAATATGTATAGAAAAATAAAGACATGAAAAGAAATCAAGGCTAAAGATAAAAAGGCATTTCTCTTTGCAACATCAGCAGTTGTAGTTGTGGCTCGTTTCTCTTTTGCCATTTACCCATTTAAAAACAATATCCTTTGTCTTGCAGTTGTATCGATAAATTCTTCAGGCATTCAGTTCCAAAGTTGCTCTCTGAAGATGTTGGAGCTCTGAGTCACTGAGGATTAGCTTGAATTTAATGTTTGATGTCATATTGGTGCTTTTTAAATTGTGGACCATCATACCTAAATTTTTACCTAGATCTTTCCAAATCTAGCATATCAAATAATATTAAAAAGCTATCAAAATAAGCAAGACCATTATTGGATGCCATCTACCCACAGTACTGTCTGACCCTGAAAACAAATACAGTCAACTCACTTATCTGTGGCTTCCAGTGTTCATTTATGTTATCTACCTTGCCAATTAAAAATAGAGAAATCTTATACATAATGAAATAGTTCTTGTGATTCTCAAAAGCATGACTTAATTTGCACTGATTTACTCATATATGATTTGGTATAGCGGTTTATTATCCTTACTAAGCAATTCTATAGAATTTTACATTCAAAATCAGTATCTTGTTTTTGCTCTTATAGAGCACAACATAAAGTGAATATCAACAAATTGATAATTACAAACCAAATAGCAATAATCATTATAGTTTAAACAACTATTTACAACTAGTACAATATTTATACAAATATTGTATTATATAAATAAATAAAACAACAACTATTTATTTAGCTCGTAATTCTGTTGGTCAGCAATTTGGACTGGGCTGAACTGTGTGATTTTCTGCTGGTCTCAGTTACACCTACAAGTTCAGCTAAACCATTTTGCATGTCAAAACAAAAGAGTGTGACCACCTATCAACTGGGGTTGTTGGGAAGCCTGGACTATATGTGTCCACCTTGCTAGTCTGGAAATGTTAACATGGTGGCCTTATCAGGGGTCGGAAGAGGATCAAGAAAGGGCGAACCACAATATACAAGTAGTTTTCAAGTTGCTGCTTGTTTTATGTTTGCCACTGTTTCGCTGGACAAAGTAAATCACATAGCCAAGTCCAGTCACCATGGAAGGGTACCACCAAAGGGCTTGGATGAAGAGGGAAGAATTTGTAGCTGCTTTTTAAGTCAGCCACAGATGGACTTTGGGGAAACTGACTCATGGATTCCTACTTTGCTGTCTTTTTAAAACTATTCATTTATTGTAATTAGAATTGACATTAGACAGCAGTTGGTAGCTTAGACAGCAGGCATTTCTGCTCTCTTATGCTGCCACATTGTGAGAACTGGACATTTAGCTCACCTTCCTGATGTTATATACTTTATAATATGTGAATTTACTCATTCTCAACTTTTCCTTATTAGTTCGTGTACTATTTTTTTGGTTCATCAGTTGAGAACTCTGATACTTTTAGGCATTGGCCTCAGATGTGCTGTGTATCATTAAATTATGTGATTCAAAGTCCTGCAAGAATAAAAGAATAATCTCAGCCATAAGTCTTGAACTTTGTTATAAAAGAGTAGATTGCAACTGTCACCAGAAACTTAAATTTTCCTCTTAGGGCATTTTAAATGATTAACATGCTGAACTTCTTAGTAAATAGTTGGTTTTATGTATAAGTAAGAATCCAAAATAGTCCTTGTGTGGGTCTACCTTTATTTAAATGATTTTTCTGTGTTCTGAATATTGTGGAGTCTCCTATTTGGAATTATTGTTAGAATTCTGAAGTCCCACTTTGGGGAAAAAGTTATTCATCCCAGAGCCATAGACAACCTGTTTCTTTTTCTATGATTTCTTCCCTTCCTACTTCACTTTCCTGAGTTCATCCTATGCCATCTTTCTGTCCCTCCCAGTGTCAAAGGTCCCGAGGAAAGGGCCTGGTGAAATGGACTCTGGAGTTAGACTGAGGCCCAACAGCCTGACAAACCTTAAGTAAGTGTGTGATCTTTCTGCCTGTTTCATCCAGGTGTCAGTAACTTAGTCCCATGTTCCAGCGATGACCTGTTACTTCTAAGTAACAGAAAAATAACCCCAACTTAAGTAAAAACAAAATAAAATGAAAAGGAATTTATTGGGGAATCAGAGAAACAGCTACAAAGTTCTAAGCCCTTCCTAGTGCCTAAGGGCTAGAACTGGCTCTCAGAATGTTTTTCCTTGTCTTTATTTCTCTTTGCCTGTTGGCTTTTCCTCTCCTACTACAGGCAGATTCTTCCATTCAGTCAGGAATAATGACCAACAGGATCCCTATGCTCATATCAGCTTAGCAGTCATTAAGGAAAGAAGGATTAGGACTGAGTTTCTTTCTTTCATTACCTTTGATTACTCTGGTTCCAGAGTCAAAAAAGCCTTTGTTATCATTAAATACAAGTGAAATACTATTGAATTTTACTACATGGCAGATGCTGTTCTGTGAGGTTTCCATGATTAAGTAATTTAATCCTCACAGGAATTATTATAGATAATCATATAAAGTAGGTATAATTCCATATTATACCCATTTTACAGATGAAGATATTGAATAAATAATAATGAAATAACTTTTCCAGTCACACAGCTAGTAAATGGCAGAGCCAGGATTCAGTATAAGGAAATCTATGCCAGGGACAAAGCATTTGTGAACCTGCCATGGTTTGGAGGTTTCCTAAGTTTCTACATAGGCCCCTCCCAGGAAATGGCAATTCATGTTCTAAAACAGTTTTTAAAAACTAAAACCTAATCCTCTTTGAAAAGATAGTAAATTTGAAATACATTTGTAGGTACATTTTTGACAGTGTGCAATTCAGGACTCAGAGTTGGAAAACAACCTCAGGTTTATTTGGATAGCTGGAAAAACTAAAGGACTAAACGTAATTTTGGCTGGAGAGTAAATGATCATGTAAACCAAAGACCTGTCCAAAAAATTTTATATTGGATTCATTCCATTTTTGTTATGATTAGCCAGGTTTGAGGTTTGCATTATTTCTTGTTCTTTATGTGGGCATTAGTTATCTACTTTATAAAGAATATTTTACTGTAATTTTTAAAAGAAATACAACAAATACTTTGTACTATTGGATGTAAATAAAACACTTACATGCAGTGAAATGACTTATAGTAATTTATAAATTAAAGTTTCTTACTGTGGGACAAATTGAATTGTGGAGCAACAGGATTCTGTATCTTTTGAAATCTGGTGTTGTGGAATAAGCTACATTTTCATAAATGAGAGTTTATTTTCCTGTCAACTCCCAATTAGTTTTTACTCTTGTCAACTGATGTTCAGCTTCTTAATTTTATTTGAGCTGCACAGAATATACAAGTTTCTTGTTCTGAAAGCTCTTGTTATCTGCAAAGAGGCTGGAAAGAGGCTGTGCAGGTTAACGACTATCTCTCTCACCTCTGGGGCTGTTTCTTCAAGTCCAAGATCAATTCCTTTTTTTCTGACTACTGCCCGTCGCATAAAGTAAAATAAAAGTCTTTTTGAAACTAGTCATCACTCATAAGACATGATAAACAAAGACAAAGAAGAAAACTAACCATTCTGAAGTGAATTTTTGGCTGAAGACGTTACTTATCTTAAACCTCCAGAGACTTTGTTATCCAATTTTATAAAGAGTTGGTGGTTGGAAGTGCCATACGGGTTCACATTCAGATGAGAACATATTTTGCAAGGAAAAATAGCCACATGTATAGGTTTGTGAAAATCAAAGTAAATATACTAAAGGACACGTTTTCAGGACTGAATCTAGAAGTTCTTGCAGTATAAAATTTTTTCCTATGTTTTTCCATTATCAATAAGTTTCAATAATCAATGATCAATTATCACTAAATATTGATCACTTGCGGTATGTTCTGAACTATTTTAAATATTGGCCATGCCCTAGGAAAATAGGGTAAATTGACATGTATTGAATAACACCTGTGAGCTGGAAATTGTTATTCATTCATACAGCACATTTACTTTTCAAGGCTGGGGATGAAGCAGTGAACTAGGTAGACAAGGTTCCTGGTTTCAAAGAGGTTACATTCTAGTAAAAGAGACAGATCATAATCAAGGAAACAGCATTTAGTCATGTGTCACTTAACAACGGCGATACATTTTGAGAAATACATTGTTAGGTGATTTCATCTGTTTGTGAACATCATAGTGTACTTACACAAACCTAGAGGGTGTATCCTACTACACAGCTATGCTATATGGTATAGCCTATGGCTCCTAGGCTATAAACCTTTACAGCATGTTACTGTACCAAATATTGTAGGCAACTGTAACACAATGGTAAGTATTTATGTATTTAAACATAGAAAATGTACAGTAAAAATACTGTATTATAATCTTAGGGGACCACTGTCATACATGAAGCCCATTGATGACCCCGACATCATTATGTGGCACCTGACTGTAATTTCAGATACTAGTAAATGCTATGAAGAAAATGTTAAAAGGGTGATATAATAGAGATAAGTCAAGAGGGGGACCCTGAGAAATAGGTGAAGGTATCTCTTAGAAGGAAATATTTGTGTCAAAACCTGAAGGAAACAGCTGCTTGACCAAAGTTCATCATGGCAGACAGGAGGCAGGACTAGATTGCAGCTCTGACTCAGACAGATGTAGCAGCATGCGGAGGCTCTTATCGTGGAATTTTAGCTCCGGAATGACTGCAAGAACAAATGACTGCAGGAATCCCAAGAGGACCCACAGACCCTCTGAAGGAAGCGGACTGTTCCTGCAGAACCTGGGAGACACCCCAAATACTGTGAGTGCCCAAACTGCAGAAGTGGGAAAGGGAGATCCTCCACTCCCAAACATACACCCCCAGGGGGAAACTGAAGGTCTAGTTTGCAGGAGAAGTTTCTGGCTTTACTTGGAGCTGAGTCAATTTAGAGAGCTAAGCAAAATACAGGGGTAGAGGAAGCAGCAGGAAAGGCCCTGGGAGCTCACTGGGTCCCCAAGCAGGCCATTCCTTCCTGGAACCACAGGGATCCTTCAGGAGGGCAGCCAGAGGTGCAGGGAAATGCCACAGGGAAGTCTCCAGCTGAACTTTGTAACAATTTGAACCAGGTGAGAAGCCTCCTGGCCAGAATTCGGGGGATGTTGGTAGAAGGGCTGAGGCAGGGCTTGCTTGTCTGACATAATGTAAAAGAGTCTTGGAACATGTCCTGGGTCCAGGGTCTAAAACCTTTCATGGCCTATGGAACACCAAGCTCTGTGCCAAAGGGTGGAAGGCTGCCCTGCTGCACCACAACCTAAGCCCAGGGCATAATACCTCTTGTGGCTTGGAGAGAATCCAGGGCTCCAGGCATAAAACCCCTCATGGCCTCTGGAATGTGTCCAGACTCACTGGCTCCTTGCTCCTTGCTCTCCCAGGATCAATTGTATTTTGAGTTAAAAGAACCTGCTCTCCATTATCTCAAGTAGCAGAGCATAGGCTAAGCCATCACAGCTACACTTGATGTATCACTACCTTTCTACCCCCACATCCTCATGTCCTCACCTGCCTACCCCTACATCTGCACATCCTCACCACCTGCTTCTTTGTTTGATTACCAATAAATAGTGTGGGCTCCCAGAACTCAGGGGCTTTGCAGCCTCCATGCTAGCATTAGCCCCCTGGACCCACCCTATGTACTTATAACTTGTCTTGTCTCATTTCTTTGACTCTGCCGGACTTCGTAGCCCCCACAGCCTGGTGTTGGGTCTGATCACCACAACAGGGGAAAGCATGAATCTGGCATACAGACTCCACAGGCAGGGGGAAGAACCAAAGCCCTTTCTTTCACAGCTAGGTGGTGGGTAGCCTGGGGCAAGTTCTCAAGCCCTGCTTGCTCACTGCCTGGAAACAGACTCAGTGCTCTTAGGTGGAGGCACAGTGGGAGTGAGAGCAGCCCTTCGGATTGCATGGGAGCTGTGTGAGGCCTGTGACTGCCAGCTTCCCCCCACTTCCCTGACAATCTGCATGATTCAGCAGAGGCAGCCATAATCCTCCTAGGTACACAACTGCTTTGACCTGGGAACCTCACCCCCATCCCCTACAGCAGCCACAGCAAGACCCACCCATGGAGAGTCTGAGCTCAGATATGCCTAGTCCTGCCCCGACCTGATGGGCCTTCCCTTCAGGTCCCTGGTACCTGAAGACAAAAAGCATATACTCTTGGGAGTTCTAGGGCCCTGCCCACCACTGGTTCCTCTCCATACTACCACAGCTAATGCTTTCTGGAAAGTGCCACCTCCTGGCAGGAGGCCAACCAACACAAAAATAAATCATTAATCCACCAAAGCTAAGAACTCCTCATAGAGTCCATTTCACCCCCCTGCCACCTCCACCGGAACAGGTGCTGGTATTAATGGCTGAGAGACCCATAGATGGTTCACGTCACAGGACTCTGTGCAGACAACCCCTTGGTACTAGCCCGGAGCCTGGTAGACTTGCTGGGTGGCTAGATCCAGAAGAGAGATAACAATCACTGTAGCTTGGCTGTCAGGAAGCCACATCCATTGGAAAAGGGGGAGAGCACTACATCAAGGAAAAACTCTGTGGGTCAAAAGAATCTGAACAGCTTCAGCTCTAAAACTTCCCTCTGACAGAGCATACCCAAATGAGAAGGAACCAGAAAACCAGCTCTGGTAATATGACAAAACAAGGTTCTTTAACATCCCCCCAAAATCACACTAGCTCACCAGCAATGGATCAAACCAAGAAGAAATCCCTGAAATACCTGAAAAAGAATTCAGGAGGTTAGTTATGAAGCTAACCAAGGAGGCACCAGAGAAAGGTGAAGCCCAATGCAAGGAAATCCAATACCAATACAAGAATTGAAAGGAGACATATTCAAGGAAATAGCATAAAGAAAAAAAAATCAAAACTTCAGGAAACAGACACACTTATAGAAATGCAAAATGCTCTCTGAAAAGTCTCAGCAATAGAAATGAAGAAGTAGAAGAAAGAAATTCAGAGCTCAAACACAAGGTCTTCAAATTAACCCATCCAAAAAAGACAGAGAAAAAAGAATAAGAAAATATGAACAAAGCCTCCAAGAAGTCTGGGATTATGCTAAATGACCAAACCTAAAAATAATCAGTATTCCTGAAGAGGAAGAGAAATCTAAAAGTTTGGAAAACATATTTGGGGGAATAATTGAGGAAAACTTCCCCAGCCTTACTAGAGACCTAGACATGCAAATACAAGAAGCACAAAGAACACCTGGGAAATTCATTGCAAAAAGTTCTTCACTGAGGCACATTGTCATCAGGTTACCCAAAGTTAAGATGAGGGAAAGAATCTTAAGAGCTGTGAGACAGAAGCACCGGGTAACCTATAAAGGAAAACCTATAAAATTAACAGCAGATTTTTCAGCAGAAACACTACAAGCTAGAAGGGATTGGGGCCCTATCTTCAGCCTTGTCAAACAAAACAATTATCAGCCAGGAATTTTGCATCCAGCAAAACTAAGTATCACATGAAGGAAAGTTACAGTCTTTTTCAGACAAACAAATGCTGAGAGAATTCACCACTACCAAGCCACCACTACAAGAACTGCTACAAGGAGCTCTAAATCTTGAAACAAATCCTGGAAACACATCAAAAGAGAACTCTTTAAAGCATAAATCACACAGGACATATAAAACAAAAATACAAGTTAAAAAGCAAAAACACAAAAGGAAACACCCAAGATACACAGGCAACAAATAGCACAATGAATAACAAAGATCAGAGCAGAACTAGAAGAAATTGAAACATAAAAAAAAATAAAAAGATAAATGAAACAAAAAGCTGGTTCCTTGAAAAGGTAAATAGAATTGATAGATCATTAGCAAGATTAACCAAGAAAAGAAGAGAGAAAATCCAAATAACCTCATTAGGAAAGGAAACAACTATTACAACTGACAACACGGGAATAAAAAAGATCATTCAAGGCTGCTATGAACACTTTTATGCACATAAACTAGAAAAACTAGGAGATGGATAAATTCCTGGAAAAACAATCCTTCCAGCTTAAGTCAGGAAGAATTAGATACCCTGAACAGACCAATAACAAGGAGTGAGATTGAAATGGTAATTTAAAAATTAGCAACAAAAAAAAGTCCAGGACCAGATGGATTCACAGCAGAATTCTACCATTGAAAGAAGAAGTGGCAAAAATCCTTTTGACACTATTCCACAAGATAAAGAGGGAACCTTCCCTAATTCATTCTATGAAGCCAGCATCACCCTAATACCAAAACCAGCAAATGACGTAACCAAAAAAGAAAACTATGGACCAATATCCCTGATGAAGATAGATGCTAAAATCCTTAAGAAAATACTAGCTAACCAAATCCAGCAGCATATCAAAAAGAGAATCCACCATGATCAAGTGGATTTCATACCAGCGATGCAGGGATGGCTTAACATACTCAAGTCAATAAATGTAATACACCACGTAAACAGAATTTAAAACAAAAGTCATATGATCATCTCAATAGATGCAGAAAAAGCATTTGACAAACTGCAGCATCACTTTATGATTAAAACTCTCAGCAAAATTGGCATACGAGGGACATGCCTCAATGTAATTAAAGCCATCTATGACAAACCAACAGCCAACATAATACTGAATGGGGAAAAGTTGAAAACATTCTCTCTGAGAAATGAAACAAGACAAGGATGCCTACTTCCAGATCACTCCTCATCAGCATAGTACTAGAAATCCTAAACACAGCAATCAGACAAGAGAAAGAAATAAAGGGCATCAAAATCAATAAAGAGGAAGTCAAATTGTCACTGTTTGCTGATGATATGATCATTTACCTCGAAAACCCTAAAGACTCCTCCAGAAAGCTCCTAGAACTGATGAAAGAATTCAGCAAAGTTTCTGGATACAAGATTATTGTACACAAATCAGTAGCTCTTCTATATACCATCAGTGACCAAGTAGGAATCAAATCAAGAACTCAACTCCTTTTAAAATAGCTGCAAAAATAAAAATAAAAATACTTAGAAATATACCTAACAAAGGAGGTGAAAGTCCTCTACAAGGGAAGCTACAAAACACTGCTGAAAGAAATCATAGATGACACAAACAAATGAAAACACACCCCATACTCATGGATGGGTAGAATCAATATTGTGAAAATGACCATACTGCCAAAAGCAATCTACAAATTCAATGCTATCCCCATCAAAATACCACCATCATTCTTCACAGAGTTAGAAAAAACAATTCTAAAATTCACATGAAACCAAAAGGAGCCCAAATAGCCAAAGCAAGACTAAGCAAAAAGAACAAATCTGAATGCATCACACTACCTGATTTTAAACTATACTACAAGGCCATAGTCACCAAAACAGCATGGTACTGGTACAAAAATAGGCACATAGACCAATGGAATAGAATAGTGAACCAAGAAATAAACCCAAATACTTACAGCCTGCTGATCTTCAACAAACCAAACCAAAACAGTAAGTGGGGAAAGGACACCCTTTTCAACAAATGGTGCTGGGATAATTGGCTAGCTACAAGTAGGAGAATGAAACTGGATCCTCAGCTCTCACCTTGTACAAAAAGCAACTCAAGATGGATTAAGGGCTTAAATCTAAGACCTGAAACTATAAAAATTCTAGAAGATAACATTGGAAAAACCCTTTTAGACATTGGCTTAGGCAAGGATTTCATGAGCAAGAACCCAAAAGCAAATGCAATAAAAACAAAGATAAATAGCTGGGACTTAATTAAGCTAAAGAGCCTTTTGCACAGCAAAAGGAACAATCAGCAGAGTAAACAGGCAATCCACAAAGTGGGAGAAAATCTTCACAATTTATACATCTGACAAAGGACTAATATCCAGGATCTACAATGAACTCAAACAAATCAGTAAGAAAAAAACAAACAATCCCATCAAAAAGTGGGCTAAGGACCTGAATAGACAATTCTCAAAGAAGATATACAAATGGCCAAAAAACATGAAAAACTCCTCTGCATCACGAATTATCAGGGGAATGCAAATCAAAACCACAATGCAGTACCTCCTTCCTCCTGCAAGAATGGACATAATCGAAAAATCAAAAAAACAGTAGCTGTTGGTGTGGATGGGGTGATCAGGGAACACTTCTACACTGCTGGTGGGAATGTAAACTAGTACAGCCACTATGGAAAACAGTGGGGAGATTCCTTAAAGAACTAAAATTAGAACTACCATTTGATCCAGCAATCCCACTACTGGGTATCTACCCAGAGAAAAAGAAGAATGAATTAACAGCATTTGCAGCAAACTGGGTGAGACTGGAGACTATTATTCTAAGTGAAGTGACTCAGGAATGGAAAACCAAACATTGTATGTTCTCACTGATATGTGGGAGCTAAGCTATGAGGATGCAAAGGCATAAGAATGATACAATGGACTTTGGGGACTTGGGGGGAAGAGTGGTAGAGGGGCAAGGGATAAAAGGCTACAAATAGGGTGCAATGTATACTGTTTGGATGATGGGTGCACTAAAATCTCACAAATCACCACTAAAGAACATGCTCATGTAACCAAATATCACCTGTATCCCAATAACCTATGGAAAAAATATAAAAAGAAGGAAACAGCTAAGCAATGTGTTGAGAAAAGAGTATTTCAATGAGAGAGAACTTAAATGCAAAGACCATGAGATCTGTACAGATGTTATCTCCTTTATCCTCACTATGTTTCTGTAAGGGAGGTAGTGTTAGGCAAATTTTATAGATAGCAAAATGGAACCACAGAACTAACACACATAAGATCACTTTGTCAGCTAGCAAACAGGATGCCATGATATGAGCTCAGGAGTCTTTGACCACCACCAGCCTTCTCTTTCTGCACCCCCATGCTGCTTCGTGGGATCTAAAGCGCAACTTAAATGCATGTCCCTGCAAGGAATTCCAGAGGAAGAGAGGTTCCTATCCCAAATATAGGTAAATCTCCTAGATGGTTCTGGTTCTTTGTTTTCTTTCCACTAATCAATATGCAAGAAAGACTTATTTGGATCTATTTGTTTATTAATTCATTCAATAGATTTTTTGAGTGTCATTGCATAAACGTACTATTTGCATTTAAAATTCAGAATGCAGCCATGGTAAATAGTATGAACTATTTTCTTTCAAGGAATTGAGAGTGGTTTTGTTTTTAGTATATTGTCTGGAAATCCTAGCCGTATAATCCACTTTACCAAAAGTTACATGGAAGGATATAAAACTATTATAGATTAAAAGTCTTCCTGTCAGTTGGCTGAAAATTATCTGTAACATTTAATATGTGACTCTGTTTGGAAAAAAATATAGCCAACCACCTTTTTAATCCTCTTTTCGATGTTTTGGGAAACATAAAGTTGGGATCTTTTCATTCATTTGCAAAATAAAACAGTATTTTTTAAGGCATTGATTTATATTTCATTTAAGGCATTGAATTGTTTTATTATTGAGCCTGTCTCTGAACTCTGAGAAATTCCAAGGGAAAGAATTAAAGATCTTCAATTCAGTCTTGCCTAAATCTACTATTTTCAACCAACTTTTTTTCTGCTGTGCTTTCTTGCGTATTTTCTTAATGGATAGATAGGACAATGGTACAGCAGAAATAATGAATGTTTATCTACCACTTCCATTAAATATGTCAATGCTTTTATGAAAGGAAATCTATGGTTACTTAAGCCAATGCCTGCACTTAGTACTCAGCCATAACCGTTCTCATACCTGGAATCTAAAGAGGTAGCATCAGTAATCTGTACACACTAAGTACTTAATATTGCTCAGTGGAAAGAGAAATGCTGTTATATATTACTCTACATTTTTCATAGTCTTTATAATGTTTTATATCCAAATGTATCATTATGTAGTTTCACTGATCAGTAAGAGAGCTAGATCGTGTAAGCTTTATAAGAACGTTGGCTTTTACTCAAAGGGGATGAGAAACTATCAGGGGATTTTGAGTAGGGATGACATCATCTGGCCTTTGTTTTTTAACAGAACAAATCTGGCTGCTGTTATGAGTGTAGACCAAAGGCTGGATGGATAGAAATGAGGAAATGAGATAGGAGGCAGAGCAGTAATTTTGGTGGCAGGTCATAGTGCCTTTGTATAGGGTAACAGAATATGCTAGAGCCTAGAATACAGGCATCAAGCTGTTATGAGCTTGGCATTTTTACCACTGTATCCCCAGGGTGTGGAATCATTTCTGGAGTATAGCAGGAGCTCAGTAATTCTTGCTGCATGCATGAATGGATGGATAGACTGACAGTTTTTCACACTTATGTCTTCTCCCCATCTGTTTATTACTTAAGTTTTAACATCTAAGCTACTTGCCTCATCCTCACAGTTTTTAAACTAAAGCAAAAGTGAAACAAAAGCAAAACAGCCAAGTTTCTTCTAAATTTAATTGAATTCAACAAGTCTTTTTTTAAAGCACTTTTATGTGGTTTCTTTGGGCTATTAAGGATATCAAATGCCAACAGAATGTTCTAAGACTGTTAGATGAGATTGTTGCTTAGGGTCACAGCTATGCCACAGCACCACAATTTACTTTAAAATTAAGATTGCTACATAGTTTTAATTTCCTCCTCAGAAGGGCAATAACCTTTCAATGAATCAGACTCGGCTTTTTCTGCTTACTATAAATGGGACCATGTGACCATTACATTACAAAGTGCATAAATGGCAGGCTATATTAGAAAAGTTTGGGGACAAGGAGCACAAGAATGTATTGGGCACATAACCTTTTTGTGTGATAAAGAAGATAAATAAGAAGACATGCAAACAGATGTGTTGATACATATAAAGAAACACTGAATAGATATAGAAGCAACTAAAAAGGCTGATTGCAAGGCTCAGGAGATAAATTGGATGGACAGGGCAAACTTTTTGTTTTCAATTTTTTTTTTATACTTTAAGTTCTAGGGTACATGTGCACAATGTGCAGGTTTGTTACATATGTATAGATGTGCCATGTTGGTGTGCTGCACCCATTAACTCCTCATTTACATTAGGTATATCTCCTAATGCTTTCCCTCCCCACTCCCCAAACCCCATGACAGGCCCCAGTGTGTGATGTTCCCTTTCCTGTGTCTAAGTGTTCTCATTGTTCATTTCCCACCTATGAGTGAGAACATGCGGTGTTTGGTTTTTTTTCTTGGGATAGTTTGCTGAGAATGATGGTTTCCAGCTTAATCCATGTCCCTACAAAGGACATGAACTCATCCTTTTTTACGGCTGTATAGTATTCCATGGTGTATATGTGTCACATTTTCTTTTTTTTTTTTTTTGTATTTCCACTGTTTTATTTTAAAAAATGAGTAATTTATTATAAGTATATTTAGGTATCACTGTTTTGTCTAATCTTTTATTTTATTTTATTATTATTATACTTTAAGTTTTAGGGTACATGTGCACAATGTGCAGGTTAGTTACATATGTATACCTGCGCCATGCTGGTGTGCTGCACCCATTAACTCATCATTTAGCATTAGGTATATCTCCTAAAGCTATCCCTCCCCCCTCCCCCCACCCCACAACAGTCCCCAGAGTGTGATGTTCCCCTTCCTGTGTCCATGTGTTCTCATTCTTCAATTCCCACCTATGAGTGAGAATATGCAGTGTTTGGTTTTTTGTTCTTATGATAGTTTACTGAGAATGATGATTTCCAATTTCATCCATGTCCCTACAAAGGACATGAACTCATCTTTTTTTATGGCTGCATAGTATTCCATGGTGTATATGTGCCACATTTTCTTAATCCAGTCTATCATTGTTGGACATTTGGGTTGGTTCCAAGTCTTTGCTATTGTGAATAGTGCCTCAATAAACATATGTGTGCATGTGCCTTTATAGCAGCATGATTTATAATCCTTTGGGTATATACCCAGTAATGGGATGACTGGGTCAAATGGTATTTCTAGTTCTAGATCCTTGAGGAATCGCCACACTGACTTCCACAATGGTTGAACTAGTTTACAGTCCCACCAACAGTGTAAAAGTGTTCCTATTTCTCCACATCCTCTTCAGCACCTGTTGTTTCCTCACTTTTTAATGATCGCCATTCTAACTGGTGTGAGATAGTATCTCAGTGAGGTTTGGTTTGCATTTCTCTGATGGCCAGTGATGATGAGCATTTTTTGATGTGTCTGTTGGCTGCATAAATGTCTTCTTTTGAGAAGTGTCTGTTCATATCCTTCACCCACTTTGTGATGAGGTTGTTTTTTTCTTGTAAATTTGTTTGAGTTCTTTGTACATTCTGGATATTAGCCCTTTGTCAGATGAGTAGATTGCAAAAATTTTCTCCCATTCTGTAGGTTGCCTGTTCACTTATGGTAGTTTCTTTTGCTGTGCAAAAGCTCTTTAGTTTAATTAGATCCCATTTGTCAACTTTGGCTTTTGTTGCCATTGCTTTTGCTGTTTTAAACATGAAACCCTTGCCCATGCCTATGTCCTGAATGGTATTACCTAGGTTTTCTTCTAGCGTTTTTATGGTTTTAGGTCTAACATTTAAGTCTTTAATCCATCTTGAATTAATTTTTGTATAAGGTGTAAGGAAGGGATCCAGTTTCAGCTTTCTACGTATGGCTAGCCAGTTTTCCCAGCATCATTTATTAAATAGGGAATCCTTTCCCTATTGCTTGTTTTTGCCAGATTTGTCAAAGATCAGATGGTTGTAGATATATGGTGTTATTTCTGAGGGCTCTGTTCTGTTCCATTGGTCTATATCTCTGTTTTGGTACCAGTACCATGCTGTTTTGGTTACTATAGCCTTATAATATAGTTTGAAGTCAGGTAGCCTGATGCCTCCAGCTTTGTCCTTTTTGCTTAGGATTGTCTTGGCAATGTGGGCTCTTTTTTGGTTCTATATGAACTTTAAAGTAGTTTTTCCAATTCTGTGAAGAAAGTCATTGTTAGCTTGATAGGGATGGCATTGAATCTATAAATTACCTTGGGCAGTATGGCCATTTTTATGATATTGATTCTTCATACCCATGAGCATGGAATGTTCTTCCATTTGTTTGTATCCTCTTTTATTTCTTTGAGCAGTGGTTTGTTGTTCTCCTTGAAGAGGTCTTTCACATCCCTTGTAAGTTGGATTCCTAGGTATTTTATTCTCTTTGAAGCAATTGTGAATGGGAGTTCACTCATGATTTGGCTGTTTGTCTGTTACTGGTGTATAAGAATGCTTGTGATTTTTGCACATTGATTTTGTATCCTGAGACTTTGCTGAAGTTGCTTATCGGCTTAAGGAGATTTTGGGCTGCGATGATGGGGTTTTCTAAATATGCAATCATGTCAGCTGCAAACAGGGACAATTTAACTTCCTCTTTTCTTAACTGAATACCCTTTATTTCCTTCTCCTACCTGATTCCCCTGGCCAGAACTTCCAACACTGTGTTGAATAGGAGTGGTGAGAGGGGATATCCAACAGGGCAAACTTTTTAATAGATTTTTTATATCATTTTGATGATCATGTAAATTATTACCTATTTAATGAGTATATAAATAAATAAAAATGACATCTTTTAAATAGCTGTGGGGGGCAAGGGGGTGGGGACAGTAGGGAAGAAGGGCCTAGGGAAACTTGAAGTGAAACAAGTGTTCATTTTGTCACTTTTCCAGCCCTCATCAACTGCATTTGGAGCTGAGACTTCTCAGATGAAGTGTATGTATGTAAACATTAGTAAATAATAACCAATCACATTTTGTTCATCTTTTTTTCTTAAGGAATAAAGAAGCCTATGTTCATGAGAATGCTGATTCTTAAAGGGCTAGAAAGGCCAGTTGAAAAAGGCTAATCTGTAGAGATGCCTGGGAATTCTTTGATCTTTTTGGAGGCTAAAAGAAGTAAAATTCTGCTATGGAAATTGTCCTATTATATTTCTGCTTTCAAGAAGGGGCTACAAGATTATGAGGTTTTGCAACATTGCCCTCCTAGTCCTGTGTACATTGCTGTAAAGACTCCCAGGCATGGAGGCCATCAATGGCACTGTTTCTCTTAGCAGTTATTTGGGTGTGAAGTTCCTCACTCCTGCAAGGCTCAGCCTGAAGCAGCATGTCTACATGACCCACCTGCAGAATCTCCCCACTTGTCAGTAACAGCTGTGAAATCTGTCCCTGTTGTCTTTAGGTAAGAAATTTCACCAATGACAGTAACACCTTGCTCTTGTGTAGAGTTTTATATTTTTCAAAATGTTTTGACCTGTGTTATTTCTTCTTATGTATTCAGAGAAACTGAAAGATGGAAAAGATCTCAGATGCTGTGACCCCGATGTAACAGATGGAGAAATTGAATCCAAGAGATGAAGTGACCACTTTGCCTAAAATCAAATAGCCATGTAGCAGCCGAGCTAAAACAAACATTCAGTCCTCCTGAATCCTAACTCAGTGATTTGTCTTACTATTACATAATAACATCCATTGTTTTCCTGAGTCTCCCCTATCATTTTATTATTCTTCTTGACCCATTCATATTAGTTTTTTTCTTTTATGGGTTAAAGGTGACCTTAATCAAAATTTGATACTTACATAAGTATGATATAAAATAACTTATATCTATATTTAATAATTTCTTATTTTAGTTGATGCTTTCAAAAATTGCCAGAAAACAGATTATTTTTGCCACCAAGCAGTTACAGTTTCATCTTCATGTTCCCTCTCTTAACATGCTGAAAAATTAAGCATAAATAGAAATGCTAATTAGAGTTGTCTTCCTTGTCAATGCTATGATTTATATTTGACCTGTTTCCTATCAGATTTGCCACAAGCTAGAATCTTCTGAGCATTTCTCCCTCATATATGTTCTCTACCAGTCAGCAGACACTAATAAAGGGTATCAAAATCCTGGCAAGAAAATGTTTCTTAAAGTAGTAGCTGATGCTAGACACTAAGTAAGTCAAGTTTCCTATTGCATAGTGAAAGAGAAAAAAAGCTTTTATGTCTAAATTCAGTTTTAGTAAAAGGGAAAGCCTTATATCCAGGTCAAGGTCCAATCCACTAAGATTTGAATCTATTGAGGTATTGTATCTTAGAATTCAGAGCTTGGCATGCTTAATATTTAGAAACACTTTAAAAAGTTAAAAGCATTGCACAGTTAGAGTGACATCACTGCAAAGGTGAATATTTTCAAAGGATTCTGATTCCATTTTGACAGCTTTCTTTACTTGACATTCATAGGCTCCACACTTACTAAGGGCTGACTTGGTACCACAGCACTAAAAGGTACATCCTCTGGTTATTAAA
This sequence comes from Homo sapiens, assembly GCF_000001405.40. NCBI lineage: Eukaryota > Metazoa > Chordata > Mammalia > Primates > Hominidae > Homo > Homo sapiens. Next base: position 38,356,064 of record NC_000012.12, read on the forward strand.
AGGAGTATGATGAAAAGTATTACTTGGGAGCATGTGGGACTTCCTCTTGATTGATAAATAAAATACTGTTTTCCTCCCTTACTGATAATCTCACTCCGTGTTGCCAATATTATAGCAGTTTTCTGTATGATTTCTTACTTGAAAATGCTATGGTAGAAGTGAGAGTCTGAGTTTTTTCCTGGCTCACTCTTAAATGTATCCCCAATATCTCTTTCATTTTCTAAATTGGGGAGGAAATTAGGACCCCAGCTTCCAACTATCTTAACTGTATTCAGTAAAACTTTTTTTCTACTTAAAAAATTGTGTAAGTTAACTGAAATTGGAAATGCTTTAAAAAATTGAAAATAGAATGTTAAATAAATCTAGAAAGATCTCACTTTATCATTAAGAATAATAACTATAAATGTGATCAATGAACTTTTTTTATTAAACCCCAAATAATTATAAACAGTGGTTTATAATTTTACATGGCTCAAGGAAAATGAAAATTTCTAAATAAGATATAGAATAGTTCAAATTTTCTGTTTCATTTTCTGCAAGGTATCTAGTCTTAGTTTGGGAAAGCCAGAAACTTTCTGTAAAGTTATAGAGAAACTTTTTAAATGTCCAGTGCCTCTAAATTTTAGCATAGACATGTGCACTGAAAAAAATCTAGAGTTATACTGAAGAAAATGTTTTTGTGCTAAAGTTTAAATTACAGTAAATTACAGAGAGTAGAACTCTACATCTGAGCTTTTTCACTGCTTAAAGAGATTGAGAAGGATTCAATGCTGCCACATGAGCCAGCCACACAAGCAAACACTCCTACAACAGATATTTACAGGCCTTTCACAAAAATTAATGTAAAATGGATCAGAGTCTGCTATAGTTTGAATGCTTTTGTCAAAATTTATGTTGAAACTTAATTCCTAATGCAACAGTAGTAAGAAGTGTGGCCTTTAAGAGGTAATTGAGTCATGAAGTCCCTGCCCTCATAAACAGGATATGGTGCCCTTATAAAAAGGCTTGACAGAGGGAGTTTGCTCCTTTCTAGCCCTGCCATTCATGCCACCCTTTGAGGACACAGCATTTCACCCCTCCAGAGTATGCAGCAGTAAGGCAACTTCTTAGAAGCCAAGATGGAGCCCTTACCAGACATCAAACCTTCTGATGCCTTGATCTTGGACTTCACCTCCAGAACTGTGAGAAATAAATTTGTCTTCTTTCTAAATTACCCTGCCTCAAGTATTTTGTTATAGCAGCGCAGATGGACTAAGACAGAGACCTAAATTTAAAATGCAAAACAATAAATTTTCTGGAGGATGAAACATGGGAGAAAATCTAATTGACCTTCGGTTTGTTGATGAGTTTTTAGATACAGCACCAAAGCATGATCCATGAAATAAAAATCTAAAAAACCTTATTAAAATTAAAAATTTCTGCTCTGCAAAAGAGACTCTTAAAACAATAACACAATTCATAGACTGGGAGAAAATATGTACAACACAAATATATGATAAAGGACTTATATCCAAAATATACCAGAAAAACCTTTTAAAACTCAGCAACAACAAAAAAGCCCAATTAAAAAGTGAGCAAAAGTTCTGAACAAACATGTCATCAAAGATGATATGCAGACAGGAAGTAAGCATACAAATAGACATTTAACATCATGTGTCAGCAGGAAAATGCAAATTAAAGCAACAATGAGATACCACTATACACCTATTAGACTGTTTAGCATACAAAAAAAGCTGACAATACCAAATGATAGCAAGTATGCAGAGCAATTCAAACTCTCATTAATTCCTGGTGGGAATAAAAAATGGTGGAGCCATTTTGGAAGACTGGTGGTTTCTTGCAAAGCTAAACATAGTCTTGCCATATAATCTAGCAACTACACTCTTAGATATCTGCCCAAGTGCTTTGAAAACTTATGTTCATACAAAACCTATATACAAATGTTTGTAGCAGCTTTATTCATAATGGCCTCAAACTGAAAACAACCAAGATGTCCTTACATAGGTAAATAGAAAAATTCAAGTACATTCATATAATGTAATGCTATTCAGCACTAAAACAGGAATGAGCTATCAAAGTATAAACAAATACAGATGCATCTTAAATGCATGCTGCCAAATGAAAAAAAGCCAGTCTGAAAAGGCTATGTGCTATAGGATGCCAATTATGTCACATTTTGAAAACGGCAAAATTTGGACTTGGAAAACCAATCAGTCTTTGCCAAGGGTTTGGAAGGAGGAGAGTTGAATAGTGGAACGTAGGGATTGCTTTTAGGGTGTTGAAAAAGATTTTGTATGATACTATAACGGTGACTGCCTGACACTATGCATTTGTCAAAACCCATAGAATTTTACAGTACAAATACTTAACTCTGTTGTATGAAAATGTTTAAAAGTCATTTAGGAGGTCAAGGAATCTTAGAATGGAACTCAGAATGCATCAAAAGTATCTAACTGTATTACTACAGTGGGGGAAAATGGTTCTGAATTTGGATATGAATATGGTCTGTAGGAATAAAGACAAAACATAAGCATTATACTTTAGTAGATAAGGTTGTTTCTTACAGAGCTATAGGTTAACAATTCTGAAACCACTAAATATGTATACTGGAATTGAGAAATTAAGTAAATACACAGGGGATGTATTTACTTAATTGGGAGCAATGTTTCTCACTCTTGGTATGGAAGGTTAGAAATAAGCAAAGAAAGGAGGCTAGAATGATACATGTCATAAAGGATTAAATTTGGAAATATACTGAAGATATCAAATGTGAACTCATGTTTAGCTTAATGTAATCCACAAGTGACATATAAAATGTAACTTGCGTAAATAGATTAGTATGCACATATTTCCTTGCCCATCAGCTGAGAAAACCTGGAAGCAATGATGCTGCAGAAGCAACAGTCATGCCCCATGCCCAAATCTTGATTTTTAATGCCATTCTCCAATAAGGGAACAAAGACTTCTTACAGAAATGGCTGGTCTTTAGACCAGAATGGAAAATATACAAAATGTCCTTGGAGCATATGCTAGTGCCACAAAGTAAGAAAATGGTAAAAGAAAAAAATCTCACAATGATGGACATTGTGTCTCCATGTAAAAGAGTCACAGGGGCCAACAGAAAGAGTTCCCAGTGACCAAAGCTAGAATCATTAGAACAACAAAATAAAGTAACATTAAAGTACAAACAAAAATGTAAAGTAAATATCCATTAATCCATACTGACATAAATGACTGAATATATACATAAATGGAGAAGAATAGATAAATCTCCTGTCCAGAAGAATTCCAAATAATTTATGTAGGTATCTACCCTCAAGGAAGTGAATGGTAACTCTCAGCCTCTTAAGTGTGGGCTGAACAATATTAGCTCCCTTCTAAAAAGAGACAGTATAGAAAGGGGGAAAAATGGAATAAACTTGGAGTGAAGAAATTTGACAAACACTAGCTCAGCTAAGTGATCAAGGCAATCACCAACAGTGATTCGTCATGTTGATGGTATGTATTCTTGATTCGCTGTAATGAGGATTTTATTCTGTGGTCTTCCTCCCCCAAATCCATAACCCCAATCTAATCATGAGAAAAGTATCAAATCCCAAATGAGGGGCTGTTTTAGTCCATTCAGACTGATATCACAAAATACCTTAGATTTGGTGGTTTATATGTAACAGAAATTCATTTCTAACAATGTTGGAGGCTAAGAAGTCCAAGACCAAGGCAGCAGTAGATCTGGTGTCTGGTGAGAGCTTGCTCTGCTTCACAGATGGAGCCTTCTTGCTTCATCTTCACATGGCAAAGGCACAAGCATGCTTCCTCAGGCCTCTTTTACAAGGGCACTAATCCCATTTATGAGGTGGAGCCCTCATGACCTAATTACCCCCTGGAGACTCCACGGCTTAATATTATTGCACTAAGGATTTGGTCTCAACATTTGAATTGCGGGAGGAGAAACATCAGACCATAGCAGGGGCATTCTAAAATTATTTCCCCAACACTTCTCAGAATTATCAAGTTCACCAAAAACAAGAAATATCTATGAAACTGTCACACCCAAGAGTAGTTTAAGGAGTTATAACAACTAAGTGTAATTTGGATTCTGGGTGAGATTCTGGAAAATAAAAAGGATATTATGTAAAAAGGAAATCTGAGTGAAGTAAGAACTTAATAAAAAATGAATCAATATCAATTCATTAATTGTGACAAATGTATCACACTAATAATAGGAAAAAATGAATATGGGTGTATGGGAACTCTTTATACTATTTTCATAATTTTTCTATAAATTAAGACTATCCTAAAAAGTTTATTTAAAAATTATGTACCTTAGAATCACACAGGTACATGGGGGAATTTACCTGATTTGTTTGACTACAAAAAGTAGTCTAGGGGAAGAATTAGTAATAGATATGTACTAAATTAAGCAAATTAAAATGAGGCAATTATAAATTCCAGCTTTCAAAAAATAGTCATTATATATAGACAGGAAATATTATTACCAAAATTTGTGATGTAAAAATATTGGGAGGTTAGGGAGTTGAGGAATGAGCATGTAGCATGAGGAAAAATTCTACAGACAATGCAGTTGAATTGAAAAATATGAAAAAGTAACATATTTGTTTGGAGCTAGAGATATAAACAGCAGAAGAAAGAGTTCTAGTAGTTAAATCAGTTGCTTCTGAGGATCAAGGCTCAGTATTAAAGCAGTTGTTGACTGTTTAAACTACATATTTCTAAGAAAACCTATTAAATATAAATAAAAAAAGATAGAGTAGTGTGTTTAATGGAGAAGCATTAGACAGAAATTTAGAAATCCTCAGTGCTTGCACTAACAAGTTATATGACTTTAAGCACAGCACTACCATAGGTCTTCATTTTCTCATTTATGAGCTGAAAGATTGGAACAGATGATGGCTAAAGGACCTTCCACTCTATGATTTTATGACAGTGGAAAAAATAAACACAATTCTAAAGAAATAATACCAGATTTTTAAGGTTTTTAAAAAACTTAACAGGTTCTAGGAAGTTTAATGATTAAGTAGAAAAGAAAAATAAGTTAATGAAAATGTAGTTTTCTAACAATGTGTGTCAAATTTTGTAATGTAATTTAAATAAAGGAACAACTGTTAGGAGACCAGGTCCATCGATATTTAGGTTATTAAATCACGAACAATAAACTAATGTTTTACCAAGAAAACGTGCAGCCAGATATATTTTGACAAACGTATTCAATGAGTTGGAAAGTAAGTGACTAAAGAGAGACACCAGATATAAGACATTAGTTTATTTAACATTTTTTAAAACAAAATTAGAATTGAAGTTTTCTTGTGAATAAAATTACTGTCAAGTGACTTGAAGTCAGTTGGAAAATTTTTATATCCAAAAATTATACATATATCTAACTTAGAAAGGCAGTTAGGCTGGCACAAAGGCCTTTACGGTCTTCATTAATGATACAAAATTGTGAAAATGATACCACTGAAGAGTTAGCATGCCTTAACAATCATCACTACAGAATAAAAATGTATTAAAAGGAATTTGAGAATTTACAGTATTGTGTGTGCAGAGAATACTAATGGGATGTGCCATGAAAATAATTTCATTCTTTGGGAGAAAATAAAATTTGGACGACAGACTTTCAAAAAGCACGCATACAGACACAAACACATAAATGTTTCAGGTAACTACAGTTTACATTATAGAGGTACACTACATTTATTTTAAGCTGCAAGGAATAAGGTGGAGTAACAACCAAGGCTTGCCACATATGTATCTGACAAAGGAATTATATCCAGAATATTTGAGAAGCTCTTACCACTTCTCAAAAGAGGATATACAAATGGAAAAAAGGAAAAAAAAAAAGATGGTAATTTTACAAATTATTTAAAAGACATGCAAATGAAACCCACCAAGACAAACTATGATACACATGCCAGAAGGACTAAAATGTTAGAAAATACAAAATATTTGTAAGGATACAAAGCAACTGAAACTCTCATTTTTGTCTGATGTGATTGTTAATTGGTACAACTACTTTAGAAAACCATCGTTATTTACTAAAGCTGCATATGTACATGATCCATTGATTCCATCCTGAGGTATATATCCAACAGAAATTTTAGATATATTCACCAAAATGCATGAACACAAAAGCTCATAGCAGCATTGTATGTTATTACTGCCAACTGGAAACTACTCTAATGCCCACAAACAGTTGAATGGGTTAATTAATTATTATTTGCCTACATAGTATAATACTGTACGGCAATGAGACTGCCAACACACAAAAATGTGCATAAATATTCACAAGGATGATAATGAGTGAAAGAAGACAGACAAAATGAATGTAATGGATAATTTTATTTATATAAAGTATCAAAGCAATTGAAAATAGTCTATGCCGTTAAAAGTCAGTATCATTGGTGGAAGCAGTAATAGAAGCAGGAGTCTTTTGGGGCTACTAGTAATATTCGTTTCCTTGATCTGGGTGTTAGTTTTTGAAAATTAAGTGAGTTTATGTATACTTCAGAGTAAATTTAAGATATGGGCTCTTAGGGGCATGCATATGATACTTCAGAATTATTGAAAGTTCTGTAAATTTTGCCTCTTCAATAGTTCTCATCTTTGTTACCTCCTTAACACTCCAGTGTACACATGTTTATCTCAGACCTTTATTACTTTAAGCTAAACAATTGTTAATTTTCCACACTTTTCTCCCTTTCAATTACTTCTAATTGCAATTGACAGATACGTTTTCATAAGCAGAGCCTCAATCATGCAACTCCTTATTGGTTATGAAAGTAAGTTAAAATTTTTAATATGGCTTTAGAGGCCTCCATACTTTACTTCCAAGAAATATTCTCACCCAATCTTGCCTTAAACTAAACAAAAGTACTATTCATTATTAGTCTAAACATGACTTTGTCTACTTCTAGTCTTACGCTACTCTTCTTTGAAGAGTTTCTACCACTCTGTTGAAATTATACTTCCTTCCAGTCCCAATTCAAATGTCCCAGTCTCCATCAGACTGTCCTGGACCACTGTCTCCCACCCTGTTTCAGAATATGGTCTCTCCCTTTTTTAAGAGTTGCTTTACAGTTATTGCATGCCTCCTTTTTATGGATTGCATTATCTTCTGCCATATGTACAATGTACTATATATTTTATCCTATCCTCTCTTTTCTGATTCTAACCTTCAATGGGAGAAATTTTGTTTAACTGTTTTTTTCACCACCTGCCTTACTTAATCAATTTTGCACATCATGAGTGATCAGTAAACATTTTAAAGCTTCATGGAATCAGAATAACCTAAAAACTGTTTGCTGCTTTAAACTTTTAAATTAAGTTCTCGTGATACATTATAATTATAGTATCTGCTACTTTATGCTTAACAACCTTGTGATTATCTCTGACCAAATGATTGAATTTAACTGTGTATTCTGCCATATATAAAATGTGCTCCTCTCCACTTTTACACTGTTGGTGGGACTGTAAACTAGTTCAACCATTGTGGAAGACACTGTGGCAATTCCTCAAGGATCTAGAACTAGAAATACCATTTGACCCAGCCATCCCATTACTGGGTATAGACCCAAAGGATTATAAATCATGCTGCTATAAAGACACATGCACATGTATGTTTATTGTGGCATTATTCACAATAGCAAAGACTTGGAACCAACCCAAATATCCATCAATGATAGACTGGATAAAGAAAATGTGGCACATATACATCATGGAATACTATGCAGCCATACAAAAGGATGAGTTCATGTCCTTTGTAGGGACATGGATGAAGCTGGAAACAATCATTCTCAGCAAACTATCCCAAGAACAAAAAACCAAACACCGCATGTTCTCACTCATAGGTGGGAATTGAACACTGAGAACACTTGGACACAGGAAGGGGAACATCACACACCAGGGCCTGTTGCGGGGTGGGGGGAGCGGGGAGGGATAGCATTAGGAGATATACCTAATGTAAATTACGAGTTAATGGGTGCAGCACACCAACATGGCACATGTATACATATGTAACAAACCTGCACATTGTGCACATGTACACTAGAACTTAAAGTATAATAATAAAAAAAATAGAGAGAAAAGCACAATAAGTAAAAAATTATTCCAATAAAGGTAGAAAAAGTAGAACAGGAAAACAAAATCATGCTGAGTTAAAAAATATAAAACAAAGTGCAGAAAAAATTTGAAACATTATCACTTCCCATAATAAATGTTTGGCAAGTTAAAAAAATAATAAATAAATAAATACATAAAATAAAATGTGTTCCTCTCTACATTTTTTCAGAAAATGAAATTTCAGGGAAATTTATCATGACTCTCAATGTTGAAAAAAACAATGAAACTTAAAAAAAGTTTGTACAAGGTGAGAATACAATTGTATATTTTCCTTTGTATTTTTCAAATCATATAAAGACATTGAAGTAAAGGTAACTTTAGCATAACCAGAACTGCCATTTTTCATATTACTATGAATTTTAGACCATTATTAGCTAGTTAGATTATACCACTGAGTTTTTTTTTGTCTTGTCATATTAAGTTGGTATTTTTGGTAATATTGAGTTGATATTTTTCATAAATGTTCTGTATGAAATGTGTACTATTATTTAAAATGAGCCACATTTAACTGGTTTAACCATAAGAAAGTAAAAAGAAAGGAAAAGTTGATGTTTTAATGTAGCTTGCCCTTTGGGGATTGAAATGAAACGGGTGCAGTGGCTCACGCCTATATTTGCAGCACTTTGGGAGGCCGAAGCGGGCAGATCATGAGGTCGTGAGTTCGAGACCAGCCAGGCCAATATGATTAAACCCCATATGTACTAAAAATGCAAAAATTGGCTGGGCATGGTGGTGCGCGCCTGTAGTCCCAGCTACTCGGGAGGCTGAGGCAGAAGAATCCCTTGAACCCGGGAGGCAGAAGTTGCAGTGAGCCGAGATCGTGCCACTGCGTTCTAGCCTGGGCAACAGAGCATGATTGCATCTCCAAAAAGAAAGAAAAAAAAAAGACGAGAGTGGATGGACAGGTATTGACAGGTTGGGATGGGATGACTGGAGAAAGAAAAAAAAAAGGTGAAGATGATACATAATACCCTATGCTGTTACATTATATCCTTACAAATATCCAGCAAGACAATACTATTATCAATACTATACATGACTTGCCCAAGACCACACAATTTACAAGTGACAAGGCTGAGATTCAGCTAAGCAAAATTTTTTTTAAAAAGCAGCTTCCTTTCAGAAGAATAGTGGGCAACAGGAGATTGTCAATAGGAATTACCTTTCAAGTCCTGTGGCTTGTTAGTGCTTACAGCCTACTGAGTCCTCTATCAAATTAGAAAACTTTAAGAAACTTTAAGAAAAAGCATAAGCTAAACACACACACACACAAACAGAAAAACTCTGTACTTCTATTTGCACAAGAATTTTGGAGTCTATCATTTATTAAGGAACTCTGAAATAAAAATCTGAAGATATAATTTTAGTTTTCACTTTGCCAATTTCTACCTATATATTTTCATAAACTCGAGCAAGGTAATTCACTTTTATGAGTTTATGTTTTCTAATTTGTAAAGTGGAGATGACATCTACCCTAAGTATTTTACCTAATTATTTTAAGGATGAATAAAATTATGAATAAACACTGTTTTTGTTACCTACAAAAAGCAATTCATGTATATATTATTATAATTATATATCTGAGACTGTATATGACGGTGTTTTAGGAAAACTGAAAATAGAGTGCATTTAAATTTCATAAAAGTTGTGAAAACCTGGGAATCATGCTTCTGAGTGTTAACTATTGCTATAGCAATCAAACTGCTTTCGAACATTGTCATCATTGTGAAACCTAAATGATGCCAGGACTATTTGATGACCAAGCTTGTCCCCGCATCACATTCAAAGAACTATCAATCCAGCATCAAAAAATAATTGAAAGCAATTTCATATCTGTATTGCTTCCTCTTAAAAGGTCACAGTGGTTATATTCACAGCATGCAACTAAACTTCTTGAATTTCTCTTTTTCACCCGTCCTTGCATTCCATCCCCAATGTCTCACAGGCATTTTATCAAAAGCTAAAGATTCTTTCTCTACTTCAAGTTTCTGAAAATTGTCTCAATCCCAGTTCATAAATGTTCTTTATCCTCCTCATCCCATTTTTGTCTGTTTCTTTAGTGAGTACTAAAGAAATGGTAACATTCACCTCTTGCCAGATGAATGCTAATAGCCTCTGTAGGCTCTTCGTTTCTCTCTTATTTAAAACTTTCATTAAAACCTAGTAGCCAACACAGAACCTCCTTAGGGAGTGCATAGCAGCAAAAGCCTATGGATGCTAACAGATTAATATCTTTCCCCTCAACACAACTATTATGTCAAAGCACTGCCTACATATTGAAAAATACCTAATCTAAAGAGAAAAATCAGTTGTATGATTTGGTCTCATTCTTAAGGAAAACGTTCTAAGTAAACTCTAAAACCGCTCAGTAACTAATGCCCATTAGAGTAGTCAAGTGAATGTGGTTCTGCCCTGTGTTTTTCCATTATTTATTCATTTTTTCTACTATGATTTTATTTTGCCAAAGAATTTAAGAGCCAAAAAAGAGGTGCTACATATGACTGTGGCACAGGTCAACCTGAAAAAATTGGGATAGAACAAGATTGGATGCAGATTGCTTTAACCATGAATAGGGCTAAAAAGACTTGAAGTAGGAAGACTGTGGTAAGAATGAGAAGAAAGACAGTAATGTGAGAGAAGCTATAAATAAACTATAAGCTATAAGTTGGAGCTCTGGAAAGATAGGAGAACAGCAAGGAGATTTGGAAGCCACTCACTTATAAATAAAAGCAGAAAGAGAATAGATAAAAATAGGGAAAAAAAAGAAGGTGAATGAGGTAATAGTGCATAATTTTCTTTAGTTTGTTTGGAATGAGATTATTAACTGCTTTCATAGTGAAGTGCATTGTATAAATGTTCATTGACACTAAAAGTGAATGTCCTCATTTCTTTAAAGCCCTAATTCTTTGTTAAAGTGGGGGAGGGAGGTAATGAAAAATTACTTAATGGGTATAATGTACATTATTATTGGGGTGATACACCCACTAAAAGCCAAGACTTCACCACTATGTGATATGCCCATGTGAAAAAAATTGCACTTGTACCTCTTAAATTTATACACATAAAAAGGCACTTTTTGCATCTCAAATTATTTTAGAATAAATATTGAGGCATTTTTGTTATGCATTATAAGGTTTTCTGAATAAAATAATTGCTATTTAGATCTCCAACTATTTTTATTACAGATAACAATTATTAAATTTAAAAGTCTTTGATGCCTTGAAGGGTTAATTTAGAACTGAGGCAAAACTGAAATCATTTGATCATGAGATTTGTTTTATTATTTGTTTGATTTTTTACCTTTTGGAAGTAAGGAAAACTGGCGAGTCAGTTTTACAATGGCTATATTATTAAAAACAGCATAGTAGTACTCATGTTGGAATTGCAACCAGACTAGAGATGTCATCATTTTGTCTGAGTTGGGAGCTGGGCTAGGGGTGGAAGGAATGCGGGAGCCTAGGAGGGGAACTTACGGCAGGACCAGCTGGCAATTTCCAGTCATGACCCAGGTGAACAACCATCATCAGGATCTTGGGTGTGTACCTGAGTCTGAAAACGTGGGTCTTGCTCTGTTACCCAGGCTGGAATGCAATGACACAATCAAAGCTCAAAGCAGCCTTGACCTCCTGGGCTCAAGCAATCCTTCTGCTTTATCCTCCTGCCTCATCATTATGGGTAGCTGGGTCTGCAGGTGTGCACCACCACATCTGGAAATTTTTTTTTTTTTTTTTTTTGGTAGAAATGGATTCACTATGTTGCCTAGGCTGGTCTCAAACTCCTGGGTTCAAGCAATCCACCCACCTTGATCTCCCAAAGGATTGGGATTATAGGCATGAGCCACAACACCTTGCCCAGTATTCATTTTTACAAAATTTTAACCGACATATGAAGAAAGAAGTCAGTCAGTTAAAGAATGAGGTCAAAAGCATGGCCAAAATGTGTACATTGAAGTTCTAACCCCCAGTTTCTTAGAATGTGGTTATAATTGGGATAAGGTCTTTCAAGAGGTGCTGAAGTCATATGAAGTCATAGGAGTGGGCCTTAATTCAATATAACTGGTTTACTTTTAAGTGGAGATTAGGACACAGAAGCACAGCAGGAAGACCACATGAAGACAAAGGGAAAATGTGGCTATCTGCGAGCCAAACAGAAGACAGCAGAATGAAACCAAGCCTACCAACACCTTGACTTCAGACTTCTAGCCTCCAAAGCTGTGAGGATTCATTTCTGTTTCTTAAGCCACTCACTCAGGCAGTTTGGTATGGCACCCTTAAAAAACTAACATAAGGTAGATTCAAGATGTATTTGAAATATAGAATTGCTAGGGTTTTGGATTGCATTGGGTGTTGAAGAGAGGTGGGTTTAACAAAGACATGTTAAGAATTGGTTTCCTACTTTGAGCAATTGCCTAAATGCTATTGCGATTATGACACCACTAACCTGAGCCTTACATAGATTACATAACATGTCAAATTCCCTCAGCTAGGAGAGAGTGGAACTGGAACTTGAATCCAGGTTTGTTTGATGCCAAAGCTACAATCTTAACCTCTATTGCTATACTCCTCACATTTTTTAAATATTGTACTTATAGCTGTGAAATTTTTAAGGCAAAAATTAACCTCAGGGATGAAATGACTAACTTCGCCCCTTTATTTCACTGTTAGAAAACTAAGGCTCGAGTGAAAGCAGACCTCTCCATTTTAAATTCAGTTTATCTTTGTGTGATAAAAGGAACTAAAAATAAGCCTTCTCCCTCCTATCTACAGAAACAGAACTAATTTTCTCTATTGATTAAAGATGTCCCTTTGAATAGTGAAAATCAAAATCATTAGCATTTCAAATAATAGATTTAGCCAAAGTTCTTTCCATCTGGTGATTTTTGTTTAATGAAACACTGCAAAGCGTGAAACTTTACATGACAGGAGTTAGCTGAATTTAACTTTATACCTTGACTTAACGGAAAGAATTTTGCTGTAGAACAATATAACTTAGAATAGTGACTCCCATGCTTATGCTTTT